>NC_000006.12:91851077-92002015 GCF_000001405.40 Homo sapiens
TCTCGGCTCACTGCAAGCTCCGCCTCCCGGGTTAACGCCATTCTCCTGCCTCAGCCTCCCAAGTAGCTGGGACTACAGGCGCCCGCCAACACGCCCGGCTAATTTTTTGTATTTTTAGTAGAGACGGGGTTTCACCATTTTAGCCGGGATGGTCTCGATCTCCTGACCTCGTGATCCGCCCGCCTCGGCCTCCCAAAGTGCTGGGATTACAGGCGTGAGCCACCGCGCCCGGCCACTTTTAATCTTTTTTTACAGGGAAGAAAATTATTAGCAAATCAACCTCCAACTTTTCAGGATCACCTAGGCTAGTCCTTTTTTCAGATATAAATGACTAAGTAAAAATCATTAGCTACTAAGTGGGGGGGAAAAAACCCCACACAAACACGAAAGGGAAGAATGAAGAGAAATAGATCCAATGAATTACCCCACAGAGAAATGATTATTTAATGTAAGAACAAAATGAAAATAAAATTTTCCTGAATTATCAGAAAAATTCAAGAGAACGTTTTATCCATAGAATGAATAGATGCTTCTGTGGAAAAGGAACAAACTGCAGAACAGACAAGGAGATGGTGATAGAAATTTAAAATTTTAAGTTAGTAGGAGGCTGAAAAATAAAATGGAATTTCAGAAGAACAAATATGTAATCTGGAAGAAAAAAATGTAGAGATTCTCTTAGAATAGGGAAAAAGACAAATTTATAAAAATTTCATAAATGATAAAAAAAACCAAAAGGAAATGGATCAGGGAAGAAAAAATTATAAATGTGCAACATCCACTTATTAGGGACTCCAGGAAAATTAATTGACCCCATCCCTACAAAAATATGTATTACTAGAATGAAAAGCTCAATACTTACAGAGTGAGATGAATGAATAAAAAGTTCACACCTAGTTGTTAAGTTGTTAACATTTAACAATTGCAAAAATCAAGTTAAAAATTTACCGCAGTTGGAAAACAAAAATAAACTAGAGAATATACACTCAAACAGGTCATTCCCCATATAAAGATAACTATGAGCTTTAAATTGACTTTAGGAATGCAAGATATCAAAACAGTTTGAAGCAAGGCATTCAAAGGCTTGGAAAAAATGATTTTGAAGATTGATTTATAGACCTATTTAACTCATTAATGAATAATGAGAACAAAATACATTTTTATGTACACAGAAAATAAATGTTGGCATCTATATACTATTTAAGGAAAACATACTCAAATATATACTACAGCATATTGAACAAATAGCCTAAGAGAAAAAGATATGAAGTATATGAAGCAACGATCTTAACTCATTATTTCAATGAAGAGACATCTGAAGAGGACAGCTGTGCATGGTCTGAGAAAATAATCTTGTTTAAACTAAAACAAGAAGTTGGAAGTTTCCATGAATAATAAATATCTTTAATGAGAAAGTGAAGTAAAATCAGGAGGCCAGCTCTTCTTGCATCATTTCCTTCAACAATGAAACAGGCAGAATTGCAAGTTAAAGCTAAGAAAAATAACACAATAACAAAACCAGCTATGATCTTAGTAGAAAACAAAATATTTTGAAAAATCAAAAGGATCATGCATCTGACATTGATACTCTGAAAATTCCCCTTTGAAGAGCAAAGTTTAAGGATTTAGATTATAGTTCCTTCTCTATGTAACCAATTGTACTACTTATAGTACAAAGAAAAATATTTGCATACTTATAAATGTTTACCACTGAATATATTATAGTACACATTGAGAATCAAAGATATTGTTTAATGTTGCTAAATCAAAGAAACATGACATACAAGGAGAACAGAAGCATATTAAGTAGAGAAGAAGTTATAATCTTAAAAATAATTAAATTTGAAATTATAAAACTTTAGGCATAGAGGTACTAATAGGCTAAAGTGTGAGTCTTCTCATTTTATACTGTTTTCCCAACTGAATTTCTAAGTACATGAATGTACTCAAACAGGCATTTTAGATAATATGATATATATTTGTATATATAAAATATCTTTTATATATTAATATATAAAATTCACATTAATTTTGTATCGATTAATAATTTAATTAATTAAAAGATATATCTTTATATATTTTTTTCTCATCTAGATAATTATGTGGGTAATAAAATGCAGAATACTGGTCAGTATAATTTCAAGAGAAAAGAACTCTGCCTTAAACAAAACAGGGAATGCATTGGCTCATGTAATTGATATGTCCAGAGATAAATGTGCTGCACCCGGTTTCTCCTATGTTGTCATCCGTTCCTGACTGATATGGTTTGGCTCTGTGTCCCCACCCAAATCTCATCTTGAATTGTAATAATCTCTATGTGTCAAAGGTGGAATCTGGTGGAGATAATTGAATCATAGGGGTGGTTTCCCCTATGCTATTCTTGTGATAGTGAGTGAGTTCTTAAGAGATCTGATGATTTTATAAGGGGCTTCCCCCTTTGCTCTGCACTCATTCTCTCTCCTGCTGCCCTGTGAAGAGATGCCTTCTGCTGTAATTGTAAGTTTCCTGAGGCCTCCCCAGGCATGTGGAACTGTGAGTCAATTAGATCTTTCTTTATAAATTATGCAGTCTCTGATATGTCCTTATAGTAGCATGAGAATGGACTAATACAGTAAATTGGTACTGCAGAGAGTGTGGTGCTGCTACAAAGATACCTGAAAATGTGGAAGCGACTTTGGAACTGGGCAACAGGCAGAAGTTGGAACAGTTTGGAGGGCGCAGAAGACAGGAAGATGTGGGAAAGTTTGGAACTTCCTAGAGACTTATTGAATGACTTTGACCAAATTGCTGATTGTGATATGGACAATGAAGTCCAGGCAGAAGTGGTCTCAGATGGAGCTGAGGAACTTGTTGGAAACTGAAGAAAAGGTCACTCTTGCTATGCAAAAAGACCAGCAATGTTTTAGCAAAGAGACTGGCAGCATTTTGCTCCTGCCCTAGAGATCTGTGGAACTTTGAACTTCAGAGGGATGATTTAAAGTATCTGGCAGAAAAAAATGTCTAAGTAGCAAAGCATTCAAGAGGAAGCAGAGCATAAAAATTTGGAAAATTTGTAGCCTGATGATGCAATATAAAAGAAAAACCCATTTTCTAAGGAGAAATTAAAGCCTGCTGCAAAAATTTGCATAAGTAACAAGGAGCCAAATGTTAATCAACAAGACAATGCAGAAAATGTCTCCAGGGCATGTCAGAGACCTTCATGGCAGCCCCTCCCATCATAGGCCTGGAGGCCTAGAAAGGAAAAATGGTTACCTGGATTGGGTAGAGAGCCTCCACTATGGGCAGGGACTTTCTCCTTTGCTCAGAACTCATTTTCTCTCCTGCCTCATTCTCTCTCCTGCCTCATTCTCTCTCCTGCCACTCTGTGAAGAGATGCCCTCCACCATGACTGTAAGTTTCCTGAGGCCTCCCAGCCATGTGGAACTGTGAGTCAATTAAACCTCTTTCTTTATATATTACCCAGTCTCTGGTATGTCCTTATAGCAGAGTGAGCATGGACTAATACACTGATTCAGCTTATCTTAGTATACATTTTTATTCTCAAGCAGGATGTGTCCTTATGGTGGCAAAATGGTCAACAACTTCAAGCTTTGTTCAGCCCTAAATTCCAACAGTTCCTTAATAATCCAGTATTTCCATAAATATTCTCAACACTGCCTCTTCTTAACTTGGTAGAAATAACAGCTAACATGTATTAATTATTTACTATTTGCTTGATACTGTTCTAAGTCTTAGGGACCATAAATAATTAGCACAGGCCTGTATTGCTAGAGAGTGTTGGTGCTGAGATTTGAACACATGTCTAAATTTACTCCAAATTTAGTGATTTTAACTAATATTCCATATACTTATTTTTCAAACAATTACTGTAATCTATTGACCAGACCTGGGTCAGTTGTTCACCTCAGTGGTGAGGTCAGCACTATTGAACCATATAGACTAAGAGTGGAGTAGGATGGTTTTTCCAAAATTGCTAGGCTGATTAAAAAGTACTTCACACTAGCTTCAAAGAAAGATAGAAGAAACAGAGGAAAGTATGATGCTATAAAAAGAGACTAATAAATAAGAGAGACAAAGACAGAGAGAAAGAGAGGAGAGAAAAACAAGTAGATAAGTCTGGTTTTCAAAAGGCCTTTGACTTTTTGATTCCAGACCTTATGGACAGAGATCCCCTTCTGACGTTAGTTCAGTCAAATAATAGATCCCCTTGTTATCTAGTATTATTTTTCTTTTGCTTATGCTAGTTGAATGAGTTTCTGGGTTTTAAAGCCAGAGTGTTGATTACATTATTATAAAATGTTTACAAATTTATAAACTTGTAAGTCATATGCCTTTTTGCATAGTATGTAAGATCTGATATTTGCATGTGTGTTTCAGGACTTCAGTAATAAAAAGTTAAAAATGAAAGGAAACAATAAAAAATGCTATCCCTGTGTAGTAAGACAAAAGTTATTCTTAATTCCTTCTTTATTTTCTAAATCATTTTTTGATTTTTCATTTTCTATATCATTTTGTGTCTTTTATGCTCAGAAAAAATTATAACAAAATGTTTTACTATGATTTTGCATATTTATAAGAGCCAGGTACCATTGGTAATGCTCATTTATTGTACTGTGGGCCAGGACAATGAATGCCAGGAAAGTCCCCTAAGAAAATATTGCAAATATATGCCATCATAAAATGAACAAGGCAAGAGAATGTGGGTGACCCTTTATAACCCATTACCAATACAAGGAAAAAACAGGCACAACATGCCTACCTGTAAGTAAAAAACAAAACGTGACACTCGATATATAAAATAACAGTGTATGACAATAAGTTGTCTTGTGTTTTTCAGCATTTGAACCAAACAGCTATATGTAACTATCCTGAAATCCAACTCTCATTTATTTGCTAGGAGATCTCGTACAGATTGCTTTGGTTTTTTTACATCTTACTTCTTTCCATCCATGAAGGTAGATCTTTAGAATTGTCATGAAGATTAAGGAAGATAAAACATATAGGATATACATACTTCGTTTAGAATAAGCTCTTAGAAATTTTTGTTGTTTAATTTTCATGAGATGGAGTAAAAGAATAAGTAGCAATTTATTCATATTCAATCCTTTAGTAGAAAAAATTATCCAGCAGTAACCTATGTCAGGTAATTTTGCCACATATATGTTTTTTATATACCAAACAAAAGACAAAAGTAATGTTTTGTGTTATGCATTATTTTATTTGTGAATTCCAGGTTTAGAATTACACCAAGATACAGACAGAGGCAGGAGATGTGAGGATGGAAGAGAAGAACATAAAAGAAAAAAGCAGAGAAAGATTCTGAATAAGTCCACGTGAAGATGCCCTGCTTTTAGTTATATGGCAAATTTGACCTTTAACTTCGCTAATGCAAAGGGAAACTCTAAATATTTATCTTATACATGCACTTTATTTGCTATCTTCTTTGACTATGTTTGTGCAATCTACCATACTTTATCACTTGGATTATCTTATTATCTCCTTAACAAATTCCTCCATACCCATTCTTAGTCCTTCTAAGTCCTTCTCTATATCTGCAGTGATCTCAAAATGGAAATATGTCATTTCCCCAGCTTAAAATGCATTTGTTTAAGAGTGCAAAACACTCATTAACATAAAGTCTCTGCATTATCTGGTCCCTACTGTACGGTTTCTCTTTTCTTTCTTTATATAATGTGCTCCTTCACTTTAAGGGATATGTACTCTATGCCTCTCAGCCCCAAGGGTTTTGTGCACCAAATGAACATTGCTTATTTCTGAGCCCACATTTAATTAGAACAACTTAATCATATTTCCAATAGATCTTCATCCCCAAGAAGTCAGGCATGGTCTCTGAGGACACTCAGATCATCTCTGTTTTTTTTGTTTGTTTGTTTGTTTTTTCTCTCTGTGACATTGCGGCCTCTTAGGCAAATTAAATATACAAGATGCAGCTACAAAGATCTAAACAGCTTGATCAAGGATTCAGCGTTACCCACATAATTATTTAATATTGAATCATCTCCATTTCTAGATATAAAATGAAAATGAGAAAACTTTCAGAAAAAATAAAAGTGAAATAATTATTTTTGAAGTGCCTAATATAATATATCCAGTGATGGAAGTAGAAAATAAAACTCTAATACTGGTAGCATGAAGGAAAGTACAAAGCACAGTAGAACATCTATAAGGAAAATGAATTAAAGTGAGTGGCAATCTGACTACACATCTGGTGAAGGTGGAATTTTGAAAGAAGTGGAGTTTACACAGCATTGGCTCATTATATAGTTCAGAGTGTAATATCTCAAAAGCAAATTTTGAATAACTCAGATATGTGGCCAAAATTAAAATAAGCATATTTCTCCTTTGAAAAGCACAGCTGTGGTATTTAAAGATGAATTATAGATCTTGTGTTCCAAAGTATACGAGAATTACAGTCAACACAGCTTCAAAACATAAACTGGGTATAAATAAAAGGAAACAATCAAGCATTTATTCTGCTTTTCTTATATGATCTGTAGAACTGGGTGACCAAAGAGTAGAGGAAGGAATGTGGCTCCTTACAGAAATATTTCAATGAACAGATAAAAGAAGAATGACAGACAGAATATAGTATCAACATTTTGCAAATCCTAAGGAATAAAAAAGATCCAAGTACTGAACTTTAAGAGCTTCTAACTTTATCAAAAGTGACAATTTGTCATTGAATCCCTCCTATGACTCCTCATGAGGGGCACACACCAAGTAGGAAGTAAATTTACCTAAAAAATAACATAAATACAAAATAAAGCTAGCCTGAGTTTAAGTCTCTAGATATGACTACCAATTATCAGAAAAGGCAGAGGAACGTGTTAAACTATACAGGAACGCAATCAGCAAAATCCAGCCTGTGAAAATTGACAGGACACATGACTCTGGCTCTTTCATAAACAGATTTCAGAAAAGACAAGTGATGCAGAGGGATCCTATAAATTTAAAAATACTTTAAAAAATAACAAGCAAAACTGAACGTCAGTGTCTATGGAAGCACAATTGGACAATAAAATAAGGAGGCAATTAAAAGTCAGGAGGGCAATTCTTAGTGGAAAGAAAAGAGCTGTGATTGAGGAAGCAGACAGCACTGTCCTGAGGAAGCTGGTGAGGTTTACTTCCTGACATAAGTGAGAGTTACAAGAGTGTACACCTTTTGGTAATTTAGTAACCTACCCATTTGTTTTATGAAGCTTTCTATATTTCTTATTTAACGGTAAGAATTATTAAAAAGCAAATCAAAACAAAACAAATTCTAGAGCCAAAGACAGATAGAGGAAACAGGTTAAGTTACTTTAATAAGCTCTGGAATTTGATATCAAATCATAGAGTAAGATAATCCTTTTATTAGCAAATTACTAAGTTCTCCTTAATAATCAATTTTGTTCTAAGAGCATAAGTTGGGTTGAAAGATATGGCATGACCCTAATACTTGTGTTAATGTTGAATTACTTTGCACTTTCAATTTTGTTTATTTCTTTAATTGAAATGATTATTCATTAATTGAATTTTTAAAATTTGGGAAAGCTCACTGGGATAGCTGTTGGTAAAAGAGATTAAAATGAAATATAGATAGATCGGCTACTAAGATTTTTTAAAATATACTTAACCTACCTTCACTGAGTTATGAGAATTATCTACAGATTTAATAAAGTATCTTAAGCTCTTCATAGGAAATCATAAGAGAAATGCCTTGTGAACCATAACACTAGCAACCTTAATATATCCTGTTACCCAAATAAAACCATGTCCAGGTAACCAAAACTGCTGGATTTGTTTACATCAGGAAAACTGAGATAAATACAAACCTAAGGGAAGCAGCAGAAAAAAAATCAGAGGATGAAAATGTACCACTCTAAATGTCATAGCAGTGCAGAAAAGCTGAGGGTGATTCTGTCTGCTAAATAGCACTAATATTTATCTAAATGTTTTCCACCTACCACTTGCATCACTTAAGACACAAATGATCCCAAACATAGCTCTCAAATATCCTCCATTGAGTAACATGTTTATATAACAATTTCAAACTTAATATTTTATACCAAAATTAAAAATAAAATATGGCTATCTTTTGAACAGTTTTAATGAGCAAAAACTGCCTTCATGTAGAAAATATTACATATTTAAAAATCATTCTGCCAGGCGCAGCGGGTCATGCCTGTAATTCTAGCACTTCAGAAGCTGAAGTAGGCAGATCACTTGAGCCCGGGAGTTCAAGATCAGCCTGGGCAAAATGGAGAAACTTCATCTCTACAAAAAAAAAAAAAAAAAAAAAAAAAAAAAAAATACAAGAATTAGCAAGGCATGGTGTTGCACACATGTAGTTCCAGCTACTTGAGAGGCTGAAGTAGAAGGATTGCTTGAGCCTGGGAAGTGGAGGCTGCAGTGAGCCATGATTGCACCACCACACACACACACACACACACACACACAATTCTGTGAAATCTAATAAATGGTTATTTTTCTAGTAGTTTTCATCCTGAAAATTGTTTTAACTGGTTAACTCTTAAAAATATGTTTATAGCCATACTTAGACAAAACACTCCATAAACACATATTTGTTAAACATAAACCCAATGACTCCTAAGCCAGAAAAATGTATTTTCTAACAGGAGTTTCTAAAAACAATCTTAGAGAAAGAAGGAAGGAAGTTGGTTTATAATATCCCTGGGTTCCCAGTTCAGGGAGTTGTATCTTTCAGAACATGACAGCTCATATCACACATCAGATGGTGAAGGACTTCATAGACCTTTCAGGCCAAGCACTGCTATGGGCATGTAGGCTCCAGTTTATAAACAGAAGTCCTCCATGACCCTCAGTCTCACTGAGACCTTCAGAAAACAGGCTAGTTTTTCTTTTTTCTTTTTTAATTTGGTTATTGGAAGGAAGGACTCGCAATAGCCAACATTTCAGAGGAAGCATTCCCAGTTCCTTGGCAGTTCCCTGCCCTTTCTCAGCCTGTCTTCCATCTGGAGAACTTCTTTCTCCTTTAGCTCCTGCATTTAAGAAACTGACATGCTGTAGGATGAGAAAATTTCTCAGACTAGAGAAAAACTCATTGGTGAACTACATCAAATGAATCACCGCATATCTTGAAAAATTGTCCTTGAAACCATGGTATTAAGAACTAGATCATAACTGACAAGTCTTAAGAGAGAAGAATATACTAAAGAGAAAAATCAAGGCACTGGTTATGAAGCACTTTGTAGTTTCTCTTTATGATTTTACTTAAAATTAAAAGTAATTATAAATTACTTATATTAATAAAAATATTATCATTAATATTGATACAAAAGTAGATAAATGTTGGATCCTAGAAAATGATTTTGAGATAAAGTTGTAGAGGCCTCACTTATTAGAGCCATTCATTAACTGTATTTATAGCTGACAGAAGGTGAAGGCATTTAACAGCTTTGGATTTTGGGGGACAAGTATGCCTTTCATTTGCTCATTGCTTCATTTCCCACCTTCCACTCTGCTAGGTATTTTAGGAAAATATTTTTTTCAAGCTTTTTTGCCATCTGGGTTTTGACTAGTTTTGAAATGGGAGCACTGCAGGAATACTGGAGTGTGGGAAGTATTTTTCTTTCTTGTTCTGCCTCACAGTATATAGAAGAGGATGTACCTCCCATATGGTTCCAGATCCTACCAGGCAGCCCAGCCATATGTCCTGGCTTCCAAATTCTGTCCATTCTATTTCCTTCCACTCTTCCTTTAACCCTTGGGTTTTCCTAGCTTCCTACTGTTGCTAATCCGGGTTGTCTAATTGCTTCAAATTGTCTAATTGAATTCTCAGTTCTTTCTTCACCTGTGTATCAAATTTAGACAAATTTACCCTTATTAAATTATCTTTACTTGGAAAATCTAGCATGCTTTCCATTTTCTGAGCAGAACCAAAGGGATGCAGGACATGTTGAAAGAACATGTGCTGTCTGCATTTAATGAGAAGACGTCCAAACTTGCACAGATGTCAGACTGCTTTGGAATTATTCAGCTTATTTCCTCTTCCAATCCTCGCAGTCCTGATGCAGATCTATGTCAGCATGACCACAGCACTTTCCTGGGGAAGAAGAAAACAATGAAGGGTGCATATCCCACAGGAATGCTACCGTCCACAGCAGCTGTGCTTTGTTTGCACTCACACATAAACCATGGTGGAAGACAGAATCCAGGCACAGAAAAAAGTTTGATGGAGGAAGCTCAAGGCCCTGTAAATATTCCATGATGAAAAGAAAAAAGAAAAATACATATATTTAATTGCAAAATAATTCCATATATCATGAAATTGTATGATGGTAATGTATTACCAAAAATAGAAGCACTCCACAGAGCATCAGAAAGATGCAGCAATATAGAGTTGCCTGGATTCAAGTCCTAGTTTTGTTCTTCCCTTCTTGTATGAACACTGACAGCCAGAAAATAGCATTGAACCTCAATCTCCTCATGTGTGGACCAGGAATAATAGTAATACCTACCTTACAAGGATGCCCTGTTAGTTAATCATCACATCAACTCGACAGTTGTGCAGTGTTGCTTTTGTTTTAAAAACGAGGCAGTGATGGCTGGGCACAGTGGTTCACGCCAGTAATCCCAGCACCCTGGGAGGCCAAGGTGGGTGGATTGCTTGAGGCCAGGAGTTTGATACCAGCCTGGGCAACATAGCAAAACTGCATCTTCACAAAAAATACAAAAATTAACTAGGAGTGGTGGCTTGAGCTTGTGGTGCCAGCTACTTCAGAGGCTAAGGGGGGAGGACGGCTTGAGCCCAGGAGTTGGAGGCGGCAGCAAGTTGAGATCATGCCACTGCACTCCAAACTGGGTGACAGAGCAAGACCCTGTCTCACACACACACACAAAATGAGCAGGCAGTGAATTTTCTCAGTGCACAAATAATCACGTTTATTGCCTCGGCCAGCCTTTCTGTGAGAACAGAGTAGGTAGCTGAGCAAGTTAATGAGATTTTGAATATACAAAAGTAGCCTCAGAGCCACCGGGGCTATCAAGCTAAATAAGATGACAGGAGGGTGTTGAAGGACCCCAGGAGACCAGCAACATGGGAGAAAGCTGTGGCAGAGAAGTGATTGAAAGAAAAACCAGTGGTGAAGTAGCGGGAGACTTCAGAGGAGGGAAATCCATCTGATTTAAGGTTTTTTGCTTTGCCCTTGTCATTCCGGCCCCTTTTAACTTCTATAGGGATGGCACCAGGTTCAGGAGGCCAAAGAAGAGAAGTGGAGCCAGCAAAAGAGACATATGGCTTTACTGGGGGCTTCATACAGGGAAGAGAGTCCAGTGGCAGGGGGTTGGGCAGAAGAACTCGAATCGCTTGTAAAAAGCATGCAGTTTATATAGCATTTTCACTTACCATCCTCCCCAGAAGAACCTCCACCTGGCAACCTTCATTTAATCCACAACAAAGGGGCTCAGTCCCCTGTATGCTCTGTATTCCACGAGCCAGGGATTCAGGTTGTTGGCCACTCCTGGATTTTTTTAGCTCGGAACTCCGAACACACACGTCTGCCACACAGGGTCATTCTCAGGATATGCTTTAAGTTACTGTTGTCAGGTGCATTTACCATACTGCTCCCCACTCCAGCAAACCGACAAACAAAGGCCTAATGTGGGTAGTTTGGGAAAAAGTTAAGGAAGGAGAACTGGCACTTAGAGCAAGAAATGACCAAGAAAACTTAAGGTCTTTCCTCTCCCCAGGAAAATTTGCAGAGATTGGTGAGGACCTGAGGCTGCCTTGAATGGGGTTGATTCCAACTTATTTAACTCTCAAAGGACCATGAATCTCAGTGCATATACAGAGCAAATAATACATGGGAGAGCACATGACAAACTATGAAGCATGAGACAAATCTCATTTATTGCTTCCATGTTCTTCTCAAGTAACACATAATGATGATTCCAACAGCTTTCATTTATTCAAACCACGCATTATAGAAGTGTTTCAATTTTTAATTTAGTAATCATCAGACTCTTGTCCTGTATTCTTGTATAACTACTTTAACACATAGGAAATAATAAGTCTGTACACTTCCCACGTTCTTAGTTCTTAAAACACTCATCAAATAAAAACACATGTAGGACACAGATGGTGCCAAAGTCGAGGCTTCAGTCACAGTTTTCTACCACGATAGTTAATTGTGTTCTGAATTTGACAAAGAGCCACTCAATAAGTATTGTTCAAATGTCATTTTCAAAGCAGATCCTGTTTTCATTTCCTGGCCTTGTGTATTGGTTAGAAGTTGTCCTGCAAGCAGTGTGTTTTACTCTACACCCCAGTGAAATCCTGTCCCAGTAATTGCTTCATTAATGGCAGATTGCTTAATATTGAATATATTCATGTAGCTTTAACAGGCTCCTAAAAGTAATAAGTTCTTCACTCATATCAAATGTTACCATCATTGCACCTATAATAGAAAACACATTTAACAAATAGTGCTGGTGCTATCTCTATGTTGGAAATGCTTGTCTTAATTAACATGCATTATTTTGAAGAAATGCACTGGTTAATATACAATGCGTTAAAATAAATGTGCATTGCATTTAGATAATTGCAACTCCATGAAAATGATGTTTTGAATGCAGTGAGAACCCTGGAATTTAACAGTGAAAAAATATTCTTAATGTATTTTTTTCTTAAATACTGGCAAATATACAATGCAATATCATATGTTCCCCAAATAACTTTCTCTGATAACATTTATCTGAGGAACTTCAAAAAGCAGTACACAGATTGTCATTATTACATTTCCTATATTTCAAGTATTCTTTTTTGAATCATGGCTAATGTAAAAACATGATGATATTCCCTGCTTAGTTAAAGATATGTCTTCTGTATACACTGATATTTGGCATTTTGATATTTTTTCGTAAGTAATGTCATACAACCAAGTGAACCTACTTAAGTTTAAAACTGTTTTACTTTTAGAATTAGCAGATTGTGTTATTTAGTCTTTTGTTCATTTCATAGTGACTGGGATGATAGGCATCCTTTGAGTAAAGAAGTGAATGTGTCCAGCAATGTTAACTCTTTATCGTGAATCTTGTCTGTAAACTTTCATTTAAAAAATAGAAATAATTTCCATGAAAGAAAACTTCCTGTAATAGACTACAATACATTTATACATTATTTTGGAAGAGAATAAGGCAGATGTATGCTTGGGGTATTAGTATACTAGAAACAATGCATTTGATGTACTTAATTGGAATTACACTTCATGTCTTCTTAGCAATTTTCTACCTCTCTTCGCCACCATCAACGCCTTCTCATTCTTCATGCCAGAACTTATTTTTCACCCCCCTCTGAGGTTATATCATTTGAGATAAGTAAATATTTGTACTTCTCTTATAATTGTCAAAGTATACAACACATGTTTGTGGAGCAGTAATTAGCAAGGTACATGAATGTCTGTTGAGGAACACTGAGATATCTTGAAAAATAAATTAAAGCAGCAATATCATGTCTCTGCAATGGTAGTTACCTTCTGGAGAACTGCTCTCTAAACTAACATTACTTCAAAATACAAAATTGGAAAGTAAAGCCATTCTCTTTTTTTTGCAGAAGAGAAAACTGAGATTTGTAATTTAAGAGACTTACCAAAAGTCATAGAGTAAGGACTCTAAAAAGGCTGGACATTGATAGTCTCCAGGATTATCAATACACACATTTTTGCACTGCTGTTTCATCTCTTTAAATCTCTATTTAAAAGAATATTCTACACTAAATGCATATTGTCTCTTCATATAGCTGAGATGTCTTACATATACAGCAAAAAGATTTTTATCGGGAGAAAATTATAAATTATATCTTATAATATGTTATATATTATCTTATTCTTATCTTATATATTTTAATATATGATATCATATATCTTATAATTATATCTAATAAATTATATCTTTAGTTCCTCTTAGTGCAGTTAAATATTGTTTCAGTACATCTACACATGTGGTCAGAGCGCTTACATTCCAGGCTTGTCTGACTTCCTTCTAGTTACTAGAATGACTAATCGTACAGGTTTATGAAGTATACAGGTATGCAAGTGTGCATGCCCTGCCATTCATTACAAAACTTATCTCACTGTAAAGGATCAAGGGCATCTCAATTCTTTATGGCATACTTAAACATTCATTTTTTTCCTAAGTACTAACCTCACATTAGTTACTTAGCTAGGTGAATTTCCACTTATGTCTTGAGTAAAATGTTTCCAGAATTTTACATTTTCATCTGGCTGCATAAAGGTTTAAGTAGTAGCTGAAAGCTGAAATTATAATGTTGCTTTTTTAAAAATTAATTTATTTAAAGTATTTACTATAAAAACTGTGTGTCCACAGTGCTTACAGTTAAAGTCGCATAGCTACCTAGAGAAAAACAGAAATAGCAGAAGCGAAAAGAATCCAAGAAGCGTAGGGGATGAGAAATAGAATGCTCTTGCTTGACATTTGAAATGGGAGAGAGAGCCAATGAGGCAGAGAGATTCAGAAAGGTGCTTTCAGAAGTAGTGAAAGTTTCCCAACTGACAGTAGTAAGATTGTGTCAAGGGACCAACAGAAAGCTAATGTCATTTGTCAAAGGGCAGCTGGCTGCACAATCTGTAGAGAATGGGGCTCTGGCACATGCTCAGGCAAGAGTCTGGAATACTTTTAAACTAATAGTAGCGATTGCAAAAAGAGCCTGACACCATTCACAAATGTATGGAAAGGAGAGTCCTTTGCTTGATGACTAGGTTTATGCTACTTTTAATAGATATGAGAGAGTTAAAAAAGAGAGAGAGAAAGAAGGCTTTCTTCTTGGACCTGAGGTATTTTTGGATAGCAAAATAAAGCCAATTTGTTTGGTTTACTCACTGTGTATCTGTAGCTAAGCTGGGTACAGTTTTCTTGGCATAGCATTTACATATCAGAAAAAGCTCATTGGAAGGCCATGTGTTTCTATTCCACAAGCCTCTCCTGCTGTATTGAAGAGTAGAGTGGGTCAATCTTCACAAGCAGACTCCTCGAGCATGACTAAGCTCGCATGTGTCACAGGCGTGAGGACCAATCTGTTTCCTCACAGGAAGAAACAGATACTTGAAATTAGTCCTGAAATGGAATTGGAGTTTATGCCTTTAATGAAGTGAAAGCATGACTGACAAATGCTTTCAAACTTCCAGAACACTGGTGAATAGGGCTAAGTTAAGATATTATATGGGCATGGTGGTGGGTGCCTGCAGTCCTAGCTACTCGGGAGGCTGAGGCAGGAGAATGGCGTGAACCCGGGAGGCGGAGCTTGCAGTGAGCCGAGATCGCTCACTGCAAAAAAAAAAAAAAAAAAAAAAAAAAAAAAAAAAAATATTATAACATACTGTAATTGATCCTCCTCGTTTTCAGATATCTTCCTGTTTTTATATTTATAGATACAGTATGATTAAAAGATCATCTCCTGGGTCGAATTCTTTCAATGTAACGTGTTTTGAAATATTCAGTAATCCCTTGTTTTAAAGATTATGCGTTTATATATCATGATTTTGTCTAATAAATAAGCAGCATACACAATAAAGAACCTCCCAGTTTCACATGCATTTTTAAATTTGTAACTTCCTTTACTGCTATTATAAAATTAAAATAGATACCCACCCTCCAAGTGTCAAAAACTTAGCTTCCCCGTCCTAACACTATCCTCTAGATCTTTTCCGTCTTCCCTTTTTGTCTTGTCCACCGTGTGCTCCCAGGTATGACAATATCAGTGTAACCTGTTTTATTATTTTTCTTAACCTTCACAGCTTACTGTTTCTCTGGAAATCAAATGTATTCTAATTTGTGTACTTTTTTTTTTCTTAAATCTTGTATGTCCTTCACAAGTGTAAACTGCCTTTGGTCAGTGAGGGAAATGGGCCTCTATAACCTTCTCTTACATAGTTTAACATCTGAGGAACACAGAGAAGTTCAATTTTATGTCAGTATTTCTTCATTGTAATATTTTATCCTACCATAACTATCTGTCTTTTGTACTTAAAAAGAAGCAAAAATTAAGGAATTGAATTTTTCATATTATCATTATGGTCCTTCATTACTTTTCTGGTAATGAAGATTGTGTGGTAAACTGTTATATTCTGATTAAGTAGGAAGTACTACATGTTGTCAACTACTACCCTTTCTTTCCTGCATGATTTTTAAAACCCTCAACACTTCTACTAAGACTCTACATTATCAACTAAACATTTATTCCTAATTCGAATAATATAATTTTAGCAAAAGAAAGAGATTAAGGAATTCAAAGTTTGGAAATATAGAAACGTGTATGTACATAGGAATATTTGGGGCTAGAGGGATTGAGTGACTTGCCTAAGATCACAGAGATCATATCTCTCTGATAAGATTCCATTAACTCTCTGACAATTTTCCCAGATAAATTTGGCCAGTTAATTATTATATATACAAACTGTTCATCTGAACTCTCCTTTTACAATTATTTATGTAGCTTTAATGAGGTTATAATTTACATATCATGAAATTCACCTATTATATGTGTGCAATCCAAATATTTTTACCAAATTTATAGAGCTACGCAACTATCATCACAATTCAGTTTTCAAAATATTTATCATACCCCAAATTTCCCTCCACTCCATTTGCAGTCAATCTTCACTTCCCTCCCACTCACCGCTTCCTCCACCCTTCCCAGACAGGCAACCACTGATCTGTTTTCTATCTCTCTGAATGTGGCATTTGGGATGTTTAATATAAATTGAATCATGTAGCATGTGGTCTTTTTCACTTGGCTTATTTTACATAACATTTTATCTTTGGGTTTATCCATTGTTGTAAGTCCTATCTATATTGCACTTGTTTTTATTGCTGAATAGTACCCTATTTTTTGGACATACCACATCTCGTTTCATTCACCACTTAATAGACATTTGAATTGTTTCCAGTTTTGAGTTGTTATGAATAATATTGCCAAGAACATTCAGGTACATATCTTTGTTTGTACATGCATTTTCATTTCTCCTGGATATATTTCTCAGAGTAGAATGGCTGGATTGAAGGCTAAGTTTATTTTTAACCTTTTTTAAAAGAAACTGTCAACTGTTTTTCAAAATGGTTGCACAATTTTGCATTTCCACTATCAATGTAAGAGGATTCTGGTTTCTAGATATCTTCTCCAATACTTGGAGGTGGAAATGTGGAATCTTACTGGCTGAAGATGTTTGAACACAATCTATGACCTTTCTTTGGCTTAAAACTAAGCTAGAAAGACTCAGAGGTAGCCCCTATGAAGAGAGGCTTAAAACTTTAACCAAGAGAGCAAAAAATGGAGCAGAGATTAATGTCTGTACATTGTAAGAGAGATAGACTTCACAGATATAATTAAGGCTGATAAATAAGCAAACAAAGAATTTTAAAAAATGAGCTACAAAATGCATTCAAAGTTAGATTCTGTATCATTTTTATTTAATGCCGGACCCCCTGTGCCTATGTGTATGGGGGCACCTTTAGCCAGAGACGTGTCGGTAAACTGTACCCAGCCTGATGTCCACTGTGTATACTAGGTTCAACCTGAGATAGGTAGGAAATCCTTCAAGTATACTATGGTTGTCTCACCTTCTGGAACTCCCAGTTAAATTACTCAATAGTTCTTGTGTCTGTTGTTTGCCCTCGTACTGCTGCAACCTAAAACTAGCTGAGTTGCTGGCTCACCTTGTTTGCTTTCCACTTTAAATGATAAAACTCCAAATAAAGTGAGACCCCCCCACTCTTGCAATGAGACTGAAGCTGCTGGTTTGCTGGTTTTCAAGGGCTGCCCTGCTTTGGTTAAACTCCTACAAGAACAGAGCTGATTGGGTGGGCACTGGGGACAGCCTCAGGGAAGAGTACCACACAGTCTTGATGTTCCTGCGCTAAGTTTAGTAGTTTTCATTTATAAACTCTCCCCAGTTTGCTGTTTACCTTTGATTGATTTTTCCGAGTGCTTAAATGATTGTTTTTGCCAGTTTGGGCCAGTTTTATAGTTGCTCTTTGAAGAGATAATTTGTCGATCTCTTCACTGCATCATGCCAGAAGTGAATCCTCTGGGTTATTGTTTATCTTTCCTAAAATACGTCTCCTGAAATAATCTATAAAGACTAGATTCAAGTAAATTACAATACATATGGTGGAACAAATGTGTTACCTCTGTATCCTCTTTGCTCAAAAATGAAGTTAAAGGAATTAAAATTAACTTGAAAGACCAAATAGAAAGAGAATAGAAGAGGAGGTCAGCAGATAAGTAATGTCAACAGAAATATGAAATACAGCAGGTGTATAGACTTAGCATATGACAAAAACTGGCACATTAGAGGCCAGAACAGGATGTTAACAAGCAGATTAAAGTCACTACAGAACCTAGAAGAGGCTCAGGAATTTGAGGTGTCAGGTACCTGGAACTCAACTGTCCATCAACAGGAGAGTGAATAAATGGACTCTGATATAATCTCACAATGAAATATGCAGCAAGCAAAATAAAGTAACTACAATAACAGATAAATATAGACATATTTTAATAGTATATGAGCTGAAAGAGGTAAGCACAAAAAGATTATATAGAATTCAAAAGTTCTTATAATTTTAAAAAATAAAATATACATGTGATTATGTGTATATCACATATTAGTAAATTATGGCTCAAGGACAAAATTGACCTGTTTTTGTATGGTTGGCCCCTGAGATAATAGTGGTTTCCATGCACTTAAATCCTAGAAAAGCACATCTCACTGTTTGTAATACAGATTTATAGGAAAATAGCCAGGCTTGTTAGTTTACATATTATGTGTGGCTACTTTGGCCCTGCAACAGCAGAGTAGAGCAGTTGGAAGAGAAGCCATACAAAGCTGTATCTAGTCTTTTACAGGAAAAGTTTACCAACCTCTGATGTACAATATATACATATATACATGCATACATACATATTCATACATATATACACATATATACACATCAAACTTCCAATAAATAAGATAAACATATAAATACAAAGATACATTTATAATTACATACATATATTTAAATATATAAATGCACACTTTTATTTATGAACCTATAGCAATATTTATGTACACATATACTAAAAATGTATATATTTGTAATATCTATAAACAACATAAAAATATGTAGAAATCAAGGGATTATCAAGATAAAAATTTGTGAGGAGAAAGGGGATTATAAACACAGGAGTCAGGGAAGTAGTTGTCTCAGAAGAGAGGAAACCAAGAGGTGGGGTTGGGGAAGGCTACACAGTTAGATATAAATTATTGTCAAAAGCATTTTTTTAACTTGAAGTATATTTATTAAAACTAAATAGATATTTTGGACATGAAGTCCTTGCCCACGCCTATGTCCTGAATGGTAATGCCTAGGTTTTCTTCTAGGGTTTTTATGGTTTTAGGTCTAACGTTTAAATCTTTAATCCACCTTGAATTGATTTTTGTATAAGGTGTAAGGAAGGGATCCAGTTTCAGCTTTCTACATATGGCTAGCCAGTTTTCCCAGCACCATTTATTAAATAGGGAATCCTTTCCCCATTGCTTGTTTTTCTCAGGTTTGTCAAAGATCGGATAGTTGTAGGTATGCGGCGTTATTTCTGAGGGCTCTGTTCTGTTCCATTGATCTATATCTCTGTTTTGGTACCAGTACCATGCTGTTTTGGTTACTGTAGCCTTGTAGTATAGTTTGAAGTCAGGTAGTGTGATGCCTCCAGCTTTGTTCTTTTGGCTTAGGATTGACTTGGTGATGCGGGCTCTTTTTTGGTTCCATATGAACTTTAAAGTAGTTTTTTCCAGTTCTGTGAAGAAAGTCATTGGTAGCTTGATGGGGATAGCATTGAATCTGTAAATTACCTTGGGCAGTATGGCTATTTTCACGATATTGATTCTTCCTACCCATGAGCATGGAATGTTCTTCCATTTGTTTGTATCCTCTTTTATTTCCTTGAGCAGTGGTTTGTAGTTCTCCTCGAAGAGGTCCTTCACATCCCTTGTAAGTTGGATTCCTAGGTATTTTATTCTCTTTGAAGCAATTGTGAATGGGAGTTCACTTATGATTTGGCTCTCTGTTTGTCTGTTGTTGGTGTATAAGAATGCTTGTGATTTTTGTACATTGATTTTGTATCCTGAGACTTTGCTGAAGTTGCTTATCAGCTTAAGGAGATTTTGGGCTGAGACGATGGGGTTTTCTAGATAAACAATCATGTCGTCTGCAAACAGGGACAATTTGACTTCCTCTTTTCCTAATTGAATACCTTTTATTTCCTTCTCCTGCCTGATTGATTGCCCTGGCCAGAACTTCCAACACTATGTTGAATAGGAGCGGTGAGAGAGGGCATCCCTGTCTTGTGCCAGTTTTCAAAGGGAATGCTTCCAGTTTTTGCAATGGCAACAAAAGCCAAAATTGACAAATGGGATCTAATTAAACTAAAGAGCTTCTGTACAGCAAAAGAAACTACCATCAGAGTGAACAGGCAACCTATAACATGGGAGAAAATTTTCGCAACCTACTCATCTGACAAAGGGCTAATATCCAGAATCTACAATGAACTCAAACAAATTTACAAGAAAAAAACAAACAACCCCATCAAAAAGTGGGCGAAGGATATGAACAGACACTTCTCAAAAGAAGACATTTACGCAGCCAAAAAACACATGAAAAAATGCTCATCATCACTGGCCATCAGAGAAATGCAAATCAAAACCACTATGAGATATCATCTCACACCAGTTAGAATGGCAATCATTAAAAAGTCAGGAAACAACAGGTGCTGGAGAGGATGTGGAGAAATAGGAACATTTTTACACTGTTGGTGGGACTGTAAACTAGTTCAACCATTGTGGAAGTCAGTGTGGCGATTCCTCAAGGATCTTGAACTATAAATACCATTTGACCCAGCCATCCCATTACTGGGTATATACCCAAATGACTATAAATCATGCTGCTATAAAGACACATGCACACGTATGTTTATTGCGGCATTATTCACAATAGCAAAGACTTGGAACCAACCCAAATGTCCAACAGTGATAGACTGGATTAAGAAAATGTGGCACATATACACCATGGAATACTATGCAGCCATAAAAAATGATGAGTTCATGTCCTTTGTAGGGACATGGATGAAATTGGAAAACATCATTCTCAGTAAACTATCGCAAGAACAAAAAACAAAACACCGCATATTCTCACTCATAGGTGGGAATTGAACAATGAGATCACATGGACACAGGAAGGGGAATATCACACTCTGGGGACTGTGGTGGGGTTGGGGGAGGGGGGAGGGATAGCATTGGCAGATATACCTAATGCTAGATGACGAGTTAGTGGGTGCAGCGCACCAGCATGGCACATGTATACATATGTAACTAACCTGCACAATGTGCACATGTACCCTAAAACTTAAAGTATAATAAAAAAAAAACTAAATAGATAACAAATGGGTATAAGATGGTTAATAGATTAATATGTTTCATAAACAAAGAAATAATATTAATCAAATTATGTGTACCAGACATCCATTACTTTTTTTCTTTTTTGAAACAGAGTCTTGCTCTGTCTCCCAGGCTGGAGTGAAGTAGCATGATCTCAGCTCACTGCAACCTCTGCCTCCTGGGTTCAAGTGATTCTCCTGCCTCAGCCTCCCGAGTAGCTGGGATAACAGATGCATACCACCATGCCCGACTAATTTTTGTGTTTTTAGTAGAGACGGGGTTTCACGATGTTGGCCAGGCTGGTCTCGAACTCCTGACCTCAGAAGATCCACCCGCCTTGGCCTTCCAAAGTGCTGGGAATCCATTAGGTTTTTAAAAATTATTTTCATAATTTTGCAATCAGCACCCTAGATATATTTTCCACTAAATACAACTACTCCTACCAAGGAAAAAGACTGAAGTTGCATTCTTTAGAGATGTGGAATGAAAAAGCAGTATGTGGCATATCTGAAGGTGGAGAAAACTCAAACTGAAAATGGGAGAAATAAAGACATTGGTCTATTTTACCTACTCATTTATCAAACTTTTTGCTCTCCAAACATGGAAGAGTTAATTGTCCTCTGGTAAAAATTGGCTAACATCCCCCAACCACAACCTCCAATAAAAAAAATTCTCTAGATGCTGACATTTGGTAGGGATGATAGTCTATTAGTTTTCTATTAGTGCACAACAAATTACCACGCTTAATGGCTTGAAACAACACAAATTTAGTAAAATGGTGTAGCCACCAAGGAAAAGAGTATGGAGGCTCCACAAACAATTAAATGTAGCATTGCCATGTGATCCATAAACTCTACCTTTGGGTATATATCAAAAGAATTAAAAACAGAGACTCCAAAATATATTTTGTTTATGTTCGTAGTTCATGTTCATAGAAGCTTATCCACAATAGCCAAAAGGCGAAAAAAAACCTAAATGTCCACTGATAAATAGATAAATAAAGTGTGGTGTACAGATTACAATAGAATATTATTCATCCTCAAAAAGAATGAAATCATGATTCATGCTACAACGTGAATGAATATTGAAAACATTATGCTAAGTGAAATAAATCAAAATTGACAAGGCTTTGGACGGATAAATGAGTATGTGGAATAAAGATAAGTGTAATTGTATTAGTCTACTTACATGAGGTACCTACAATGTCAAATTCGTAGAAAGAGAAAGAATAGTGATTATTAGGGATTCAAGGGAGGAGGAAATGAGGAATTATTGTTTCGCTGGTACAGAGTTTCAGTTTGGGATGATGAAAAAGTTCTGGAGATGGATGGTGGTGATAGTTATACCATGTGAATATATTTAACAGCGTTGAACTGTACATTAAAAATGATTAAAATGGTATTTGTAGTACAGGAGATTACATATCAAAAGGAAACACCACATTACAAAAAACATAAGGAAATTTTAAACACCCACTATAATACCTTACTTTATTAAAATTTAGAATCCCAGCAATAAAGAGAAGATGCCAAACATTTCCAGAGAAGAAAAATGAGGCTGGCAACGATTTGGCGATTAGAATAGCATTACACTTATGAGATATAATATGTAAATCTGGAAGAAATGAAACCAAGAGTGATGTTGAGAAGTCATTTTTATGAATGAAAACTCTTAAAATGTTAATATTTAGGAGGTCACAAAAGTTTTGTTTCATCAGTATGAGGGGAACAATTAAAACAGAGGAAATATGAAATCAAGGGATGGCATCTAGCACAGAACAGAAACAAAGGAAATTCCCATTTTATGGTCATTTTGGGATGGCAGCTGTGCCACCCTGCAGAAGAGTACAACAGGATAGTGAGCCCAAGGAGAAATCTTTCCATTCCCTACTGCCTTAAATATTGGAACTAATATTTTCAATGTGACAATATTGAATGGAGCTTTTGAGTTCCGTGAATTACCTAATACACAAACAAATTAAATTACCAAATAAATATATCTTCTCACCATTCCACTTTAACCAAAAAGTCACATTTATATCACATTTTATATCCCCTTAGAAAACTCTTCTCATCTATACCTACTGACAATATTCTTCTTTGATACTTTGAGTATTGTGATAGTTGATACATCATTATTAATTAAACATAAGGTAGCACAGGTGCAGATAAAACTTCAATTAGCACTTAATGTTACCGGTGTTAAATAAATTGAAACTTCTAAAAATCTCTAAGAAAAAAAGCCCACTTATTAATATAAATTTAATTAGAAAGGAAATTTAATTTAAATTAATCAAAATTTTCAATATTATTTAGGGTAATATACATTGGCTCTCTGAGCAGTCTTTTTGAATGGTGTATCTTTTGTGGATATTTTAATAATTCTTATTATAGCTTTTATAAAAGATTATACATAGGCATATGAACGCAAATATTTACCTGCCCACCCTTAAAAACAAATGTCTATTGAAATTCCATGGCAAGGAGTTGGCACCTGGGAAACTTAAGGTAAATGTCCAGTTGACAATCTGGAATTCTCATCAGGTACTCTCCAAGAATGTTCTCCAAACAGTCAAGTCTGCTTTCCACTTCTTTCCACGTTGCTGGCGCTTGTCATCTTCCTCCAATAAAACTAAATCCTTTTTCCATTCACCTGGCTCAGTATTGCTTCACATTTTCTGTCCAGCTGCTAGAAATGTTGCCTTCTCCCTGTTGCCAATTGTTTCCTCAGCCAATACATTTTCCTCCATTGCCTCTTTACAATACTTCACACATATGTAATGCTTTCTTAAGTAGGTTCTCAAAGTTCTTCCAAATATGCTACTTCGTTAGTCTTCTTGATAATCCTGTGATGAATACAGGTCCAAACAATCCCAAATTTGCCAATCAACTGGATTTTCAAAAGTCATTTTGATGTTGGTTGTTTGGAATCCAGAGGCAAAATATGGAGACTGGGTCTCAGGGCAGTCTGAATATGTCTCCACATTATACAACTGAAGGATACAGCTCTATATAAATGACACTGCATGGGCCATCCAGTATGTATTTTAGTATTTCTGTGGAATTATGCATTAGAAAGGCCAGCTGAGGATTCTGGAAAATTATTCCCTCTGCTGACTTCCTGGAAAGAGAGTTTAGTAATTCCTTATTCAGTACTACCCAGTCCTCATCTTTAATCGGTATAATCGCTAAGAATTTAGAGGGGAGCTAATCTATTCCTAATCCGCAAGTGGCAGCCTAATCTAGGAGGATGCTGGCAGAATAAGGGAAAAAGATGTAGAGGTAAAAGGATGGTAGTGGGTTACAGAAGCAGTGGGACTGGGTTCCTAGTTTATGATCTTTCTCTCTCTCTCTCTCTCTCTCTCTCTCTCTCTCTCTCTGTAACTATGGTTTTTCAAAATTTTACTTACAAGTACTGTTTTCACCAACTACTGTTACTTCCCATCAATGTTTCTCAATTCTTTGGTACATTGTAAACTAGAAAACAGTTACACAGTTTCTTTCTATATTTTAAAATATAAATATATAGGAAAAGACACTTTTGAGATAGCTTAAGATTTTCTAATAAATATTTAAAGCTTTGAAGAGATGAAAATAAATTTTCTGAAGGCAAGGAACAACCATACATTGGTTGGTGATGGTGGCTACGATGTGCACACACACAAAAAACTGAGATAATATTGATCTATATTTGGGAGAAATAGTCTAAATATTTCTCTAAATATTTTAGAGAAAAACTCACCTTATTTGACACATTAGCACAGTAGAAGCACAGATTCTGAAATTATAAGAAAGGGAGAAATTAGTATTTATGGAATGAGGATAGGGTGGGGTCACTCATTCACAGATGTGAATTAAGAAGAGTTGGATACTGCCAATAAATCAGCTCTAAGTGGTTAAAAAGAGTGGCTGTGAGGTGAGACAGGGAGTGGGGATGGGGGAATTTTATGTATGGGTATCTCTAGGTAAAAGCATAAGGAGAAGGGGCTCATAGCAAGAGGAAAGAAATAAGAACTGAGGAAAGGGAGGGCACAAAAAATATTTAAGGGTCCATGCAGTGATATGAAAAAGGTTAGTTGCTAAAGATGACATTCACAGCTTCCTTGTTTTCTATTAATAACTTGTTAATAGTTTTCTGATTTTTCCTATTGTCACAGAAAAATAGAGTTTATATTCTGTGCTAGAACTATATTTTACGATCTGCATATCTAATTTCATATGCTAGCTGTGTTCAAATTATGAAAATTCAAATAATTATTTTTTGTTTTCATTTTCCCTTTGTTTTGTGAGGCTGAGAATTTGAGACATTATTGGCAGACATCAGTTAAGAAAACAAAAATACGAGAGAGGTGAAATAGGATGTTGGCCAAGGCATATGCCCCTCCCTTTTCCCATCTTTCTCTCCTTGATGCTGTGTCACTTAAGGGGAAGAATTAGATCCTCCATATCATCAGAGATATCAGGTGAGAAACCATCTCTGGGTATTTGGGGATTTCAAACACTTCATCAGTGTTTGTAATAACAAGGATCAGAGGAGAGATGAGAAATAAAGTAGGAGTCAATATTTTTAGAGTTTGGGAAGGGGTTTCTGGGCTAGTAATTTTCAATGATTGTTCGCAGGCTGTGTATCAAATATTTTGACCTGGGTCTTGGAGGTCACCTAACTTGACCTTTCATTTAAGGGATGCTTGTAGGTCAATTGAATACTTTATGGGAACAGTTTAGATATGGTTCCCAGAAACAAATGTTAAAGGCGATGCCTTACTCAATAGCCTACTGATCTTAACTTAAATGAGTAAATTTAAATATAAAATATTCTCCAGAGAAAACTGTCTTTTAAAATTCCATAATTTTAGCATTAAAGGTGATGGAAACCTTCAGAAGATATCAGGCCTTAAGCAACTGTAAGCAGGGGTATCATTATTACTTATATAGTAATGCTACAGTTGGTACATAAACACAATTCCTGGTCAGTGGGTATAAATGAGGTATAAACAAGCACATCTGGAAGGATATGGATATATAGTACATTGATGGATTGATAATAATTGATGGATCACATTGGCCATTTGAAAGAAAAGTCAGCTGTAAATAGATTCTAAGGAGAATGACGCAATATTAGAGTAATTAATGAATTACATTTCAGTGTAATTTTAACAGTAAAACTGCAGACTTTGTAGGTACTCAGGAAAACTAATTCTCTATGCAGATGTGAGTATTCTGATGTGTTAATTTATTATGTGTATATATAGATAAATTTATTCTAGAAGTACCATGTAAACTCTAAAAATATAAATTATACCTATACATCTAATTTTTTAAAGTTCATTTTTCAATATAGCTTAAAACAATTTTTAGTCAAATCACATTACTTAAATGAAAACCCTTTCTTCTACAGTGATTTTCATGTTTTTATTAAGAGAAAAACATTGCATATAAAATTTTATAAGTTTTATGAAGACACACACTAAATTAACCATAAATGATTGTCATCATCTATTCTCATTTTCATAAAAATCATCTGGTTAAAAAGTGTTAGCATGCATGCTGCTTGCTTTGTGTTTCAGAAATTCATTTAGATAACACAATGAGTATAATATACACTGTAAAGTGATGACATGTTGCTGGTCATAGAATTGCTATGTGTTTGGCTTGTGATGACCAGGTCATTGGCTATATTTCAGCATTCAATTTCAATGCACATTTTTTCCACTTAAAAGTCTTTAGAGCATGGTGACAGAGTACTGGGAGCGTGGAATGTCTAAACATTATAAAAATAGAGAAAGAAAAGATGGGATGCTTCATCCACTCCATTTATCTGCCTGTTCAATATTGGATCTCACAATTAATTTTTTATTTAGGACATATAATACTTTGAGGTCTGATAAGATGGATGCTGCTATATTTTTTTTCTGAATGGTATAGTAGTACCCTCAAAGTATTGTGAAATGGACACTTTAGTTAGTGATTCCTACCTGGAATGGGTTGCAATATATTTAAGCTTTCTATTGCCTATTGATTTATTTCACGTGCCAGAGACATTACCCTTTAGCTTTCTTAACTTCCTAATCTAAACCTGCATTATTACTTTAATATGAATGAACATTTTCTCTTCCAATCACGCAAGATAAATATTAGTCAAACTTGACAGATGCAGAAACCACAATTCAGAGAGATTACTCAAACTTTTTTACTCAGTTACTTGAAACCAGATCTTCTGATTTGGATATCATACAGGTTATGATATTTTTATTTGATTGCCTTTTTATTAAAGATGTGTTATTTACCTTATTTTTGAGTTATTTATTGCATTATTTCATTTTTTGTTACTTTCCTGTCAAGATGGAGTAAAAATTTTAATGCTTTTGTAGAAGGGATTATCAGGATGGTCTCAGATTGTGTTAATACCAATAAATTCTTGCACAAAATCAAAGCAGAGACAAGACACTCTTATTTTTATTTTCACTGATGTTTCTATAATGCATAATTTTTATAAAAGATCCTTATCTCTGATTTCATATATAGATAATATTAATGCTCCTTAATTAAATAATAGGATGAGTCATAAACTAACAGTACTACCAAATACATATGTTCTCTTGTAAGAAATACTAAATGAGACTTCTAGATAGGGAGGTTGTATTTGAAATTCTCTGTGTCTTTTATTCTTCCACTGTCAAATGGATCATTGTATTTTCAACACAATTATCTTTTCACCTAAATTGTATCTTATTTAACTTGATCATTTAAACTGCTAATGTGACTTTTTTTGTGTTCATCTTGTCTTTATATAAATGAACTGCTATTCTCTAACTTGACTTTTGCTTAACATATGAAATCTGAAATTCAAAAGGAAGAAGGAAAAGGTAGGAATTTTTGGTTTGTTTGTCATTTGCAGGTGTGAGCAGTTCTCAGTCACTTGCCATGAGCTCTCATTCCTTGGCATATTATTTGGATGAGGCATTGGGTCACTCCCATTTTTCATAGCTTGTCACACAATTAACTAAATCATTAAAATGGAACTAGTCCATTGTGACAAACTGGAATGACTAAAATCCTGCCTAAGGCACTGCGCTGCATGGCTGTTTAAGAAAATTCCATCTCTTCTACGTGTGTGATGGATAACATGACAAAAATATTCCGATTAAATTCTAACTTTGGAATACTTAATAAATTAGTAACAGCAGTAGAAGTGCCACTTACAGTCACCTGTCAGGGTGGAGCAGGTCTGCACTGCTGATCTTTTTGCCCTCTTTGTCTGCATTCATGAGAGCTGCTTGCAGCTGATGGCTGTGTGTGTAGGGGGCATATCTTATGAAGGTGCAAGATGACAGCAAGCAAAGAAGTTCGTTTGTAATGCCTCTGTGCGTATTCATTTCTCCCCTTCAAACTCGGAACACTTGAAGAACACAATGCTTTCTTTGACATCTTGAAACCTGACATCTCTCTTCATCATCATTTTTTATTCTTTTAAAAAAAACTTTTCTATCATGTAAAAATCATTTGGTGTTTTAGGGAATTTGTCAAGGAAATGTTTCTCCGACTAAAGCACATATACATTGTACAGTAATATTTAAGATGGAATTCAGTAAAATTATAATTTCTGGAGTGTACATTTTTGCACACATATTTTCGAGGGTTTTGTGGTATAAAGAAATGTGAAATGACACATTAATATATTTTTACACAAATTAATTAATTAAAAGTTTTAATATTGTTATAATTACTTCTTAGTGCAGGGCTATTCATGTATGTCTGTAGGTACTGTGCTTGTGTTCACATACTCTCACACCCACGTGTAGAGTGGCATGTTGGAAAAATACACCATACTGGAGGTTAGGATATAAAGGATTTAATTCTTGTTTTAACACCAACTATATTTTTACCCCTGTAACGTCACTTTACCACTCTGGATCTAAGTTTTATCATGAGTAAAATAAGGGAATGGGTCTAAATAATCTCTAAGATACTTTCCAAGATTTAAGCATTATCAAACATTAACACTAAGGATGAATAATCAAAATGCTGGATTACTGAAATGAATGCAAATATCTAGGGCTGTAATATAAAATTTTTATTTTTTATATGTTTAAAAAATGGAAATTTGCGTAGTAATACCTAACTACTTTATGAAATAATATGTCTAGCAGTTTTCTGATTTGGTTTTAGGAACAAGATCTGTCAAGAGCTCATTGGTAGGTGAACACATTTTTTCCTACACTGAATCTTCGTTTTAATGTTAGGGTCCAAATCACTGAGAAATTGCCTGTCCTTTAATGAACTTGCCATCTTTTGAGCCTGTGATTCTGATCTGGAGTGATTTCCCTCTGGCCCCTAACACTGATCTCGGGTATTCTAATCTTGGCTTGGACAATCTGTGTATATTATCCTATGGACTCAATATTGTCTTAGTACCTGATCCATTTAGATTGGTTCTTGTTTATCCTGTTTAGTTTGCTTTGTGGATCATCTTTTCCCTATTTCAACATAATTTTCATATTTCTGACCACAATAAAAAATTGGCAATTATTTCCCTTGTAACAATGAATTACTCTACAGTGATTTAAGAAACAGCTTAATTCTATCCTTAGAAAATTCAAATTTTGGATAATAATAGTAATATGACTATTACTACTATTACCAATACCAGTAATGGTTATGTGTCCGGAATTGGTGGGTTCTTGGTCTCACTGACTTGAAGAATGAAGCCGCGGACCCTCGCGGTGAGTGTTACAGCTCTTAAGGCAGCACGTCTGGAGTTGTTCGTTCCTCCCAGTGGGCTCGTGGTCTCACTGGCTTCAGGAGTGAAGCTGCAGACTTTCGCAGTGAGTGTTACAGCTCATAAAAGCAGTGCAGACCCAAAGAGTGAGCAGCAGCAAGATTTATTGCAAAGAGCAAAAGAACAAAGCTTCCACAGTGTGGAAGGGGACCCAAGCCGGTTGCCACTGCTGGCTGGAGTAGCCTGATTTTATTCTCTTATCTGGCCCCACCCACATCCTGCTGATTGGTAGAACCAAGTGGTCTGTTTTGACAGGGTGCTGATTGGTGCATTTACAATCCCTGAGCTAGATATAAAGGTTCTCCACGTCCCCATCAGATTAGTTAGATACAGAGTATCCACACAAAGGTTCTCCAAGGCCCCACCAGAGCAGCCAGATACAGAGTGTCGATTGGTGCATTCACAAACCTTGAGCTAAACACAGGGTGCTGATTGGTGTGTTTACAATCCCTGAGCTAGACATAAAGGCTCTCCACGTCCCCACCAGACTCAGGAGCCCAGCTGGCTTCACCTAGTGGATCCCGCACCCGGGCTGCAGGTGGAGCTGCCTGCCAGTCCCCTGCTGTGTGCTTGCACTCCTCAGCCCTTGGGTGGTTGATGGGACTGGGCGCCGTGAAGCAGGGGGTGGTGCTTGTCGGGGAGGCTCCGGCCGCACAGGAGCCCATGGAGTGGGTGGGAGGCTCAGGCATGGCGGGCTGCAGGTCCCGGGCCCTGCCCCCTGGGAAGGCAGCTAAGGCTCGGTGTGAAATCGAGCGCAGCGCCATGGGCTGGCACTGCTGGGCCCAGAAAGGGGCTCCCACAGTGCAGTGGTGGGCTGAAGGGCTCCTCAAGTGCCGCCAAAGTGGGAGCCCAGGCAGAGGAGGTGCGGAGAGCAAGTGAGGGCTCTGAGGACTGCCAGCACGCTGTCACTTCTCAGTTATACTATTATGAAAGGTCCACAACAGGTTAAATGGGGTATCTATTTCTCTATCTCACCATACTACTTAATGTAAACAGATTTTTTTTTTCAAGATTCACCAGGTTATGTGAGAGAGGCTTCTGAGAATACCATAACCCTATTCTAAATTACTATGTTAAAATAGGAAGCTCAGTTAGTTGTGAAGAAGAGAGTATTGTGCCAGTACTTGAGGAAGGGGTAAGTCTACTGAATAATTGGCCCAAGAAAGACATTCTTTATTATAAAGTGTTTCTGGACATATTCTGTCCAAGGAATTTATGTCCCAATTTGCATAATCCATTCTATCACAACACAATTAACATCTTAGTGTCTTCATTTTTTTATTGTTCTGTTTCTCTGTACTGTAGTGTAAGTCTAAATCGTGTTGTATTCATCTTTGTTTACTTGTGTGTTCAGTACAGGGTGGTATGAGATGTATAAGCTGCAGGCTGTTTAAGCATGACATCAGCATCTGCTTGGCTTCCGGTGAAGCCTCAGAAAGCTTTTACGTGTGGGGAAAGACAAAGGGAAGGCAGGTCACATGTTGAGAAAGAGAGCAAGAAAAAGAGCAGAGGAGATGCCAGATTCTTTTTAACAACCAGATCTTGTGTTAGTTCATAGAGCAAGAACTCACTCCTTATTATGAGGATGGCACCAAGATATTTATGAGGGATCCATCCCCATGATCTAAACTCCTTCCACCAGGCCCCACTTCCAATATTGAGGATCACATTTCAACATGAGATCTGGAGGGAACAAACAGCCAAAGTATATCAAAAAGTTTCTGAATAATCAATGAAGTTTTGCATCTACTTTTTTCCCCTCTGCTTTTTACTTCCTGTCATTTACACTGGTTACTTGATATCATATTAACAACCATACTCCTTCACATCTTTTCATACACCCCCAAAAGTCAAGTTTGGGGGTTGGTTAAATGTTAATTTTCTTGTGCGTTTGTGAAATGTGTTTCTTATGTAAATACATTAATGCAAGCTATTAGAAAGAAATTATGGCATCACAAATGTCTATGCTTTTTAAATTCTACCTTTTAGGGATATTAATATTCATTGCTATTAAACTAGTAATTCTATATATTGTTAAAAAAACTAAATTGGAAAAGCAATTAAGGCATCTGGAACAATATCATTTAAAGAAACAACATTTTTTTCAAGGACTGAATTTTATGTTCAAAAATCGAATAGAAAAATCTCAGCTTTATCTTTACCTGGAGCCTGCTCTTTCACTATATTACACAGAGCTAGCCTTTCTGCACATGTTCTAGTTTGTTCTTACATTAACTCTTTTAAATAATCCCCTTGGAAAGATAATTCTTCTGATACACAAAAATAGAAAAGAGGACCAAAACGTTTTGGAAACAATTTTAGATGCTGGGCTGTCAACAAGCATCACTGAAAATAAACAATGGGATTTTTCCTTCCCTGAAAAGATGTATTTCTGAAACTTCCTCTTTCAGATGCTTAGATTTGAAGACATTTTCTAAGACAAGTTGTAATGTGTGAGAGCTAGTCTACTCATCTTATCTTCAGAGAAAGAAAGGACGGAGAAACACCCAAGAGGTACACTGAAGTGTGCCAATACTTCACAATTTTCATGGCAAATCATGAATGTTTTCTTTACTTCTCAAATTATCTCATGATTTATCAGAAGTTATTTATTCTCTCTAGAAGAAATCTTATTAATTATAGCTGTTCACTTATAAATCACTAAAAGTAGGCAGAATTAATGAAAAAAATTAACTATTCTATTCACCACCTATACCATCCTTAATACATTGTCAAGCATCTGATAGCTTCATTTTGTCTCATTTGGTACAATGCTTTTTTTCTTTTTTTTTAACTTATTTTAAGTTCAGGGTCATAAATACAGGTTTGTTACACAGGTAAACTAGTGTCATGGGGGTGAGTTGTACAGATTATTTCATCACCCAGATATTAAGCCTACTTACTACAAATCCTGATCCTCTCCCTCCTCCCATTCTCCACCCTCTGACAGGCCCCAGTGTGTGTTGTTCCTCTCTATGCGACCATGTGTTCTCATCATTTAGCTCCCACTTATTAGTGCACACATGCAATATTTCATTTTCTGTTCTCGTGTAAGTTTGCTAAGGATAATGGCCTCCAGCTCCATCCATGTTCCTGCAAAAGACATGATCTCATTCTTTTTTATAGCTACATAGTATTCCATAGCGTATATATAGCACATTTCTTTATCCAGTCTATCACTGATGGACATTTAGGTTGATTCCATGTCTTTATTATTGTAAATAGTGCTGCAGTAAACAGACAATCTATAGGATGGGATAAAATTTTGTGCACTGTGCATCCTATAAAGGTCTAATATCAAGCATATATAAGGGACTTAAACAAATTTACAAAAACAGAACAGGAAACAGTGGGAAAAAGACATTAACAGACACTTTGCAAAAGAAGATATACATGCAACCAACATCATATGAACTAAAGCTCAACATCACAGATCATTAGAGAAATGCAATTTAAAACGACAATGAGATACCATCGAACACCAATCAGAATGGCTACTATTACAAAGAAGTAAAAGAATAACAGGTATTGGCTAGATTGTGGAGATAAGGAAACGTTTATATACACGTATGTGTATGTTAATTGGAGCACTATTCACAGTATCATAATCCAATTTTTTTTTTCTTCTCAACAGGAAATGGAAATTGATAGTCCTGTTTTAGTCCTTAACATTGCTGGATATCTCTGCTGCAAATGGACACTGCTGATTTTCTTCTCACACCTATCTATTAATTTGAATTCCATGGCAATATTTTCTCCATGTGATACGGTTTGGCTGTGTCCCCATGCGAATCTCATCTTGAATTGTAATAATCCCCATGTGTTGTGGGAGGGACATGGTGAGAGGTAATTGAATCAAGGGGCTGGTTCTTTTCCATTGTGTTCTTATGATAGTGAGTAAGTTTCATGAATTCTGATGGTTTTATAAAGGGGAGTTCCCCTACACAAGCTGTCTTGCCTGCCACCATGAAAGATGTGACTTTGCTCCTCATTCACCTTCCTACATGATTGTGAGACCTCCCCAGCCATGTGGAACTGTGAGTCAATTAAACCTCTTTCTTTTGTAAATTACCCAGTCTGGGTATGTCTTTATTACCAACATTAGAACAAAGTAATACAGTAAATTCATACTGGGTAATGGAGTGCTGCTGTAAATATGCCTGAAAATGTGGAATCAACTTTGGAACTGGGTCATTGACAGAGGTTGGAACAGTTTGGAGGGCTCAAAAGAAGACAGGAAAATGTGGAACAGATTGAAACTTCCTAAGGACTTGGGGGGCTCGGAAGACAGGAAGATGTGGGAAAATTGGCAACTTCCTAGAGATTTGTTGAATGGCTTTGACCAAACTGCTGTTAGTGATATGGACAATAAAATCCAGGCTGAGGTGGTCTCAGATGGAGATGGGGAACTTGTTGGCAAATGGAGTAAAGATCACTCTTGCTATGCAAATAGACTGGCAGCATTTTGCTCCTTGCCTAGAGATCTGTGGAACTTTGAACTTGAGAGAGATGATTCAGGGTACCTGGTAGAAGAAATTTCTAAGCAGAAAAACATTCAAGAGGAAGCAGAGCATAAAAGTTTGGAAAAGTGGCAGCCTGACAATGTAATAGTAAAGAAAAACCCATTTTCTAGGGAAAAAAAATCAAGCCTGCTGCAGAAGTTTTCATAAGTAATAAGGCACCAAATGTTAATCACCAAAACAATGGAGGAAATGTCTCTGGGGCATATCAGAGACCTTTGTGGCAGGCCCTCCCATCACAGACCCTGAGGCTTAGGAGGAAAAATGGTTTCCTGGGCCAGATCTGGGGGGCCCCCTGCTGTGTGCAGCCTCAGGGACTTAGTGCCCTGTACCCCAGCTACTCCAGCCATAGCTAAAAGTGACAAAGGTACAGCTCAGGCCATGGCTTCAGAGGGTGCAAGCCCCAAGCCTTGGCAGTTTCCACTTGGTAATGTGCCTGCAGGTGGACAGAAGTCAAGAATTGAAGTTTGAGAACCTCTATTTCAGAGGATGTATTGAAACATCTGGATGTCCAGGCAGAAGTTTGCTGCAGGGGTGGAGCCCTCATAGAGAGCTTTTGCTAGGGCATTGCAGATGGAAATGTAGGGTGGGAGCCCCACACAGTACCCACTGCGACACTGCCTAGTGGCACTGTGAGAAGAGGGCCACCTTTCTCCAGACCCCCAGAATAGTAGCTCCACCAATGGCTTGTACCAAGCACCTGGAAAAGGTGCAGACACTCAATGCCAGCCCATGAAAGCAGCCAGGAGGGGGCTGTACCCTCTAAAGCCACAGAGGCTGAGCTGCCCAAAGCTGTGGGAGCCCATCTCTTGCATTGATGTGACCTGGATATGAGACATGGAGTCAAATGAGATCATTTTGGAACTTTAAGGCTTAATGACAGCCCTATTGGATTGTGGACTTGCAGCGGACCTGTAGCTCTCTGTTTTGGCCAATTTCTCCCAGTTGGAATAGGTGTATTTACCAACACCTATACCCTCATTGTATGTAGGGGTATAGGCATTGGGTAAATATTAACTTGCTTTTCATTTTGCAGGCTCATAGGCAGAAGGGACTTACTGTGCCTCACGTAAGACATTGGACTGTGGACTTGAGTTAATGCTGAAATGAGTTAAGAATTTGTGGGACTGTTGGGAAGGCATGATTGGTTTTGAATGTGACAACATGATATTTGGGAGAGGCCAGGGGCAGAATGATATTGTTTGACTGTGTCCCCAACCAAATCTCACCTTGAATTGTAATAGCCCCACATGTGGGAGAGACCTGGTGGGAGATAGTTGAATCATGGGGGCAGGTATTTCCTGTGCTCTTCATGTGATAATGAATAAATCTTATGAGAGCTGATGGTTTTATAAAAGAGAGAACTCCTACACAAGCCTTCTTGCCTGCCTCCATCTAAGATGTGACTTTGCTCATCATTTGCATTTCTTCATTATTATGAGGCCTCGCCATCCATGTGGAACTGTGAGTCCATTAAACTTCTTTCCTTTATAAATTACCCAGTCTTGGGTATGTCTTTATTAGCAGTGTGAAAACAAACTAATACACCATGTTTTGCATAAGACTGTAATATTTTCCTCTGTCCCCTTCCTACTCCCACTGTGAAGATATTCCTTCATCCTCCTACTCCTTAACTGTTGTTATTACTTTGAATTCCTGCTTTATCTTTTAGAATTGCTTCTATGTATTCCCTTTGGATGTTCACATCTGTATTCATTATTTTAATTATCATCATTATTATCTGCATGTGACTTTTAAGTACTTCTCAATCTCTAATCTTTCTGAGCTTTAGATTATACATAATATTTAGATATTCCACATGTGCCTTCACTTCAATATGCCCAACACTGCTTTTCCATCTGCATTTTCCATTCTGCCAAGTCAGAATCCTAAGTCATTCCAGGGCTTTCATCTCATACCCCCTCATCCCTCCATATAGCAAATCCAATCAACTGTAGCCAAGCTCTACGTATATGCTTACTGCCCTAGTTTAGGGCTTTTTTGTTTTTCCCACCTTCATTATTCTAGTAACCTCTTATAAGAATCCTAGCTGGAAGTACTTAGTTTTGATATCACAATATTCCATGAGGCACTACATATATTTATCAATCATGAAAATTGTATCTCATTATTAAAGTCTTGTAAAAATAAAAATTTATTTTTTAAATCAGTGAAAATAATTCTGGACATTGACTCTAGGGTTGTCATATTCGAGAAAGGGTATTTTTTTAAAGTCTAATTATTAAAATTTAAAAAGCTGGGAAACTTATTATTGCATAGAATATGTTATTTTTCCTGACTTTTTAAAGATCGCCATTCTAACTAGTATGAGATGGTATCTCATTGTGGTTTTGATTTGTGTTTCTCTGATGGCCAGTGATGCTGAGCATTTTTTCATGTGTCTGTTGGCTGCATAAATGTCTTCTTTTGAGAAGTGTCTGTTCATATCCTTTGCTCACTTTTTGATGGGGTAGTTTGTTTTTTTTCTTGTAAATTTGTTGGAGTTCATTGTAGATTCTGGATATTAGCCCTTTGTCAGATGAGTAAATTGCAAACATTTTCTCCCATTCTGTAGGTTGCCTGTTCACTCTGATGGTAGTTTCTTTTGCTGTGCAGAAGCTGTTTAGTTTAATTAGATCCCATTTGTCAATTTTGGCTTTTGTTGCCATTGCTTTTGGTGTTTTAGACATGAAGTCCTTGCCCATGCCTATATCCTGAATGGTATTGCCTAGGTTTTCTTCTAGGGTTATTATGGTTTGAGGACTAACATGTAAGTCTTTAATCCATCTTGAATTAATTTTTGTATAAGGCATAAGGAAGGGATCCAGTTTCAGCTTTCTGCATAAGGCTAGCCAGTTTTCCCAGCACCATTTATTAAATAGAGAATCACTTCCCCATTTCTTGTTTTTCTCAGGTTTGTCAAAGCTCAGATGTTTGTAGATAAGTGGCATTATTTCTGAAGGCTCTGTTTTGTTCTATTGGTCTATATCTCTGTTTTGGTACCAGTACCATGCTGTTTTGGTTACTGTATCCTTGTAGTATAGTTTGAAGTCAGGTAGTGTGATGCCTCCAGCTTTGTTCTTTTGGCTTAGGATTGACTTGGCAATGCGGGCTATTTTTTGGTTCCATATGAACTTTAAAGTAGTTTTTTTCCAATTCTGTGAGAAAGTCATTGGTAGCTTGATGGGGATGGCATTGAATCTATAAATTACCTTGGGCAGTATGGCCACAGGTGCTGGAGAGGATGTGAAGAAATAGGAGCAGTTTTACACTGTTGGTGGTACTGTAAACTAGTTCAACCATTGTGGAAGTCAGTGTGGCAATTCCTCAGGGATCTAGAACTAGAAATACCATTTGACCCAGCAATCCTATTACTGGGTATATACCCAAAGGATTATAAATTATGCTGCTATAAAGACACATGCACACGTATGTTTACTGCAGCACTATTCACAATAGCAAAGACTTGGAACCAACCCAAATGTCCAACAATGATAGACTGGATTAAGAAAATGTGGGACATATACACCGTGGAATACTATGCAGCCATAAAAAGGATGAGTTCATGTCCTTTGTAGGGACATGGATGAAGCTGAAAACCATCATTCTCAGCAAACTATCGCAAGGACAAAAACCAAACACCACATATTCTCACTTATAGGTGGGAATTGAACAATGAGAACACATGGACACAGGAAGGGGAACATCACACACTGGGGCCTGTTGTGGGGTGGGGGAACGGGGGAGGGATAGCATTAGGAGATATACCTAATGTTAAATGAAGAGTTAATGGGTGCAGCACACCAACATGGCACATGTATACATATGTAACAAACCTGCACGCTGTGCACAGGTACCCTAAAACTTAAAGTATAATGAAAAAAAAAGAAAATGTTATTTTTCTGTGTTCCAAAGTACCTTAAGTGTAATTATTTTGTGACAGTTTGGCAAATAATAGCAAATCATTCTTCTCAGGAAACTTGCTTTGAACTTTCAAGTTTGATGAAGCAAGCCTTGCTATTGCCACATGTTCCAATCTGTCTACATCTATGTTAACAGTTCATACATGATATGGTAATTTTTTATTCATAATTTATTAATTGTTCTGTTCCAATATATTGTGGAAATGTATTTATTTTCTTTGCCCTCTATTTAATACATTGTCTGGCGTGGATTAGGTGTTTAATAAATACTTATGAGCTCATATATTAGAATTAAATATATATTAAGTGAAGATGCTAGTTTCCAATTCTTAGAGTATCAGGAATATTTGATAAAATTTAGTTGATTTAGTCTATACAAATAGCAGCTGTTATGTAGTGTGATGTATGTATGAGCATATGGTATATGGTGTGTTTGTATAAGCATATGGTATATGAATCCACTATTTTATATTTTTTGTATAAATGGAGAATATACTTTTATGTAAGGCCATGTTAGACCAAGGATTAAAGCAAAAATTTCATGCTACAACATGTATTTTTTTATATCACAGAAGGGCACAGCACTAATATACTTTGAAGTGATTATTGCTGTGGTAAAATATTAAATAAATATATAATTCAATGTGACATGGGAGAGTGAAAATCTAAATGAAAGCAGAACATGCATATTGTTTTTACGTTGTACCTGCCAGTCAAGCTAAAATTTTATGAAGAACTGAGAAGCAATTTTCACTCATGTACATTATATCATGTAGGTCATATTCTTTTATGTAAATCTCTTTCACTTGAGTGTTTAAATTTCAATATAAATGTAGTTCTAAAGACTATCATTTTTGTTTCTTTCTCTCTTTAATTCATTTTGAGTTTTAGAGTGCAAATGTTTTATTGAGGATGAAACCTATAAAGGGTATTGTTTGAATAGGTGTTAAAACATGAGTGCATCTGTTTTGGAAAATAGTGGTATTGCAGAAGCTCTCTCCTTTCCCCATAGTACATCATCCCACAGGCAGGGGAAGAGAGATGTGAGCTCAAAGGTGTGTACTAATTCACAGCTGAAACTTTAAAAATAAGATAAATGCTGTACTTTCTCTTTTAGGAGAGGCTGGACATCCTTTAGCTTTAAGCATGCTTTGTCTCTCTGTTTCATAGAGCTCATTGACCAGTTCCACATCAGAAAATCCATTTTCACAAAATGTCCTGCAATGATAACTTTGGACACATTTTTGTGTACATTAGCCTTTTCTCTCTGTATAAGACTCTGATCAGTAACATTACTAGATCCTATGGGGATATACCATTGTTGAATTTCAACTTGGGAAAAAATCAAAACAAAGCAAAGCAAACAAAGCAAAAATCCTCAAATACTCACATAGTTTATCCATAGTTATTCCTACAATAGTAGATTAGTAGATTGTTACATGGATGAAACACATGAAACTCCAATAGCACACCACTAATTAAATCTAGTAAAGTTGTTTTTTTTTTAATTCTGAAAATCCATTTATGCCACCTAAAAAAAAGCTTGGCATTAAGGATCCAAGAAAGTGAAAGGGTTTGTATTTGTTAATCAATTATTCATTGTCCTAGCAGGAAACAAAAACCTCAAAGTAATTGGTGAATTTTAATGTAAGTTTTATTTACAAAGGTGAGGGCAGGATTAAGTGATACTAAAAAAAGTCAGTGAAGAATACCAGTCCTAGCAATCTCATTCTATTCAAACTTTATCTTATAAAACATGACATGTTTAAAACCAAAATATATCCCCTTTCCAAAACCAGCTTCACTTGTAGCCTTCTTCATCACAATTGAAAACAATTTATACTCCAAACTTCTGAAGACAACAATCATTAAATTTTCCTTGATTTCTCTCTTTTTTCCACATTCTAAATCTAATCAATCAGAAAATTCTATTGACTTTACTTTCAAAATAGTCCCCGAATCAAAATACTTTTTATCACTTTTCCTGTTATAACACCAGCGTCCAAGCCCAGATTACTGTTAGCCTCTTAGCTGGACTCCCTAATTATAATGTAAACATCCCTATAGACATTATAAAATTAATCAGGGAAGAAGAAAGGGGAGAAATAAAAATAAATCAAGTTTGCTGCACATCCAGCATTAATCATTAGGTTAGTTAATGCTTGGACTCATGCTCTTAGAGCTGTTTGATGCCTATTGCCTCAGAATCATGCAGACTCTGTCTTAATATTATAGTTCCTCTTAACAGCTCTATAAATAGCAATTTTAAGATTATGAAAGGTTATGCTTTCCCTTTGAGATATTTTTCAGGTCCTGCATACCATGAAACTACTGACACTAGCTGTTCTGAAGGATCCTATGAGGGGGTGATTCACCAAATAATGCAGTTTTCAAATTCTGATGATTGTATTCCCCCATCCTGACCAATCAACAAAAATTCCAATTTTTCATCCCCTTGCCCTCCACAATCCCCTTAAACATTCCATTCCAGATCTCCTCAGGGAGATGGATTTTAGGGCCTCCTCCCATTCCCTCACTCAGCATCTAGCAATGGTTAAACTCTTTCACTCTTTCTCTGCTGCAAACTCTACTGTCTCAGTGTATTGGTATGTTACTGAGCAGTGAGCATATTAACTTGGTCCTATTAACATTACCTTTGCTCCCTAACAGATTGTTTTGAAAACCCATCGTAATCAGATCATGTCACTTATTTGCTCAAAACCCTGCAATGCTTCTCACTTCACTAAAAGTATGTCGAATGTCCTAACTTGTCATGAGGCCCCACATAAATTGGCCCCTGTTCTTCTTTGATCTAATTTGCTTCTTCTCTCCTCTTTCTCAGTTTATTGTAGCAACAGTGGCCTTCTCCATGAGCAAAAAGTCATATTCTGCTCTTAAAGATTTTGTACTGCCATTGCCTTGACTCTGAATATTCTCCCACTCTTTCTCCTGAAATTCAAATAGCTAACTCACATATCTGCCTTAAGCCTTTGCTTGAATGCCACTTGAATATATTATTCTATTGTCTCTGGCATTTACTGTTTCTGCTTAAAAATTTGCTGTCAATCTAGTTGCATTATCTTGTAACTAATCCATCTTTTTCTTTCTTGCTGCATCTACAATTTTCTGTTTGTTTTGGTTTCCTCTAGTATCATTACAGTGTGTCTGCATGTTTCTACCCTCATTTGGACTTAATTATCTCAAATTTGAAGATTCATGCCTGCTATAGATGTGAATCTTCAAATTCAAGATAATTTGTGTTCCCTCAAAATATACATGTTAAAGACTTAATCTTCAATTTGATAGTATTTGGAGGTAGACTCTTTGGCAGGTAATTAGATTTGAATGAGATGATAGGGTTAGAACTTCCATAATGGGATTAGTGCCCTTGTAATGGGCAGAAGAGACCTGAATGAGCTCTCTCTCTCTTTCTTTCTGTCTCATTATCCCTCTCTCTCTCTCTCTTTCTCTCTCTCCAACATGTGAAGAACCTAGGAAGAGGGCCCTCACCAGAAACCAACCATGTTGGGGACCCTGGTCTCAGACTCCTCAGCCTCTGGAGCTGTGAGAAATAAATATTTGTTGTTTAAGCCACCTGGTCTGTGTCACTCTTGTTATGACATCTTGACATAAGACAATGTCTTTCATCAATTCTGGAACTTACCTCTAAAATAGTACCTCTTCTTCATTTTCCATTTGCTTCATCTGGAGTTCGTATTAGAATTTTATTGTAGCTTATTACTCTATCTTCCATGTTTTATATTTTGTCTTTCAGAAATATGTTCCCATTATATTTCTCTCTGTTACATCCTGAATAAATTCTTTGGTGTTTTCTAAATCCCTCTTCCACTGTGTCTAATCTGTGGCTTCACTTACCTATTGAGTGTTTAATTTCAAAGACTATATTTTCAAATATTAGGAGATTCATTGTGTATTTTTTTCAAAGCTTATTTCATCTTGACTTGTTTTATAGTTTCTATTTGAAAACTCCATTAAGCTGAAGTTCCATTATATCATTGCAGTTTTTCCATTGACTTGCTCAAGGTAAATGATTTTCTCATGTATTTTCTAATTTTATTATTACAAAATTGAAAATAATATATATACAATAATAGCAGTACAGAGTTGTTGAATAAATATATTTAGATCCTGGACAGAAACAAACACAGAACTTCTCTAAAGAGAAACATGCTTAGTCTAGCCACAAAGATGTTTTACCAATGAATTTCTAAATGAGGGTAGGTATGAATGAGGGCAGGGCTCAACAAAAAGCGACAAATTTCCTTCTGCTGCAAATCACCTTTTATTGTATTTTTTCTATTTTAACAGTTTCCGAGGAAATAACCGTTTATTGCTCTTAGGGTTTTTTTTTTTTTGTGGATCTTAGATCTAATCCACTCTGCTTGCTCAAGGTCTCATCTCCTTTTCTGCTTTTGTGACAACCACAGCCCTAGGTTACTGTCACTAACAATCTTTCCCTATGTCCTCCAGAGTTCTATCTCAGTGTTTAGCTCCTGTTGAATTCCCTAATTGGCAAGTTTAATAGTTTGTTTAAAATATATTTCTTGCATATTTCAGTATTTGTAAGCCATGCAGTATTCCATATTATGGTATTACAATGTGCTAGATGCGATCATATTCTCTGAATATAAAAATGAATAATAATTCATAGCCCAATTTTCCTTGATTTTAAATTTTCTGTTGATTGATCAACTTTATTCTAAGATTATATGGTGTTTATGCAATGACACCTCATTTAAAGACAGCAGATCCTTATTTTTCTGCCTTATATTGCCATGATACTTACATTCAAATATACTTGAGCCTCTGTTTCTTTTTCAACAAAATAGGTACAATTCTATGAGCTTCTGATATAATTAACTTCATTTATACAATTTATTAATATATCTATAAAATGTTTTCAATTTCAAAATATAGCATATTTTCATACTATATTTTGAAATTAAACAATTAAAATTTCTCATTGATTTCTCATAAAAAAGTAGTTTTTCCATACGCTTCAATGTCAGCAAACAACATTGGTGCAAATTGAAATTACTTTAGATTAGACATAAAGAAGAGGCAAAGTTCTGTCCCTGAATGTGATACTGTACCAGTCAAGGCATGATGTCAGCATAACATCAAGTTTTAAACCAAACTAAAAGTCTACAAAGGGCACTGGTAGCGAACCTTTTTATTCTATATGGCTCTGAGAAACAGATGCAGAGCAACACATATAGGGCTTCTGGCTGCCAGTAGAGCGGCATTTAAGAACATCAGCTTTTGACCTTATCTTCAAATATTGGGACCCAATCAAGTCCGGGACCCAGTCAAGTCCGGGACCCAATGTGATGACATACCTGCTACAAAGATTCTCAATGCCATCTCAGTGTGAAAATGGTGCATTACAATTAATAGACCAACTAGCTGTTCAAGTTGTAGATTGACATGAGCTACTTATAAGTATTATAAGTAAAGAAAAACAATCCACCAAACAACATGGCTAGTGAAAAAACAATGTGGTCTTCCCACAGGATGATGCTCCTAAAATTGCCCCCTTGTCACAGAACGTTCTTTGAATGGGTTTCCAGATAGTGATGGTGTGTCAGGACAATAACACATATCCCTAAGGGACAGGAGTAAGGACAGCCTCGGGCCCTTTGGGGAGAGGTTTTGTGGACAAAGCCAAACATTTTGATTAAACCACCCCCCCTGTGCCTTTAGATTATAGAGAATTTTGTTCTCTCCTGCTAAACTGACATCGTAATGGCACCTTAAGTAATGTTACCTAACTGAACGCTGCCAAGGAATAGTGCTAGCGTGTATATAAAAGGTGGCGGCCAGCAGGTAAAATGTGGACTGAATCAGGCGGCAGACAAGGCAAAGCTGAGCCAGAAACACAAAGACGATTTATTCATAAACCAAGGCTATTCTTCCATGCAGGCACTGTGGACAAGTCTGCTGTTCTCATGCTGATTTTCTGTTATCCCTTTACATTCTGAAAACAACACTGCCAGCAGAAGCGCTGTCCAACATGAACACTTCTGTGTGTCTACCAGTTGCCTTGTTTTTGTAACCCTAAATGCTAACTACTTCCATTTATTTCTCCCATTCCTTTCTCCTAAACAAATACGTGCAGAGTGAAGTTGCCAGGGAAATGTCTGAGTTTGTAAAAAGGGTAATATCCCAGAATGGAGCTTCAGTATTTTTCTATGGCCTTACTATTTTTTTTTTCCCTTTTTCTTTTTCTGTCTTGTGTTTCATTTGGTATCTTTGAGAAGGATCCAAGTGCTCAGTAAGCTAACATTCTTTGGTGTTTTACATTTACTGACTTACAGTGGCATGGATAGTCTCACCCACACACTTCAGATCATTAACATATGTGTGTATTGTCCCATCTTTTGTTGTTACATCTTGAGATAAACCAGTATTTGATAGCAGCATTGTCAAACTAATTCTAGAGAAAAGAGAAAATGTTTCATACGCTTTCATGCTGCCTTCCAAAAAAAGATTATAAGCTACTTCAAGGCAAAGTTTGTAATCCTTCTATATCTTCTCTATCCAGCACTAGTTATTTGTGCTGGTATGTCTACCTTTACACTCTCCCCTCCACGCCCAATCCTTTCTGCATTTCATCGAAAATTTATCCTTCGCCAAATACCACTCATCATCCACTCACCTGCTTTAAAACTTTCAGTAGATCTTGAAAACTGACAGGACAAACTATGCACTTCATGATTTAATTTATTATTTTAGCCTTGTTACACCATTGCTCTTCATCCAAGCACCAAAAATAATTGTGTGCATTTGGTAGTCTTCAAGATTAGAATGAGTGGAAGGGGAGGGATAGAGTCAGGGGTAGGCAGAGTAACACTCAAATCTGCAGGTCAGGGACTTGCCATCCTACAGTAATGACTGCAGTGGTATAGGAGTGGAGTCTGGGGCAGTTGCCTGACAGGGCTGGACATTTGCACTTGTAGTCAAGACCATCCTTGAAACTGTGAATACTGTGAATGTGGGCTTCTCCAAAGCTTAAAGTGGAATTCCAAAAGAAGAAGCAAAGCAGAACAAATAACAATGTTTAAACTGTGGTACAGAGAAGACAACTGTGAACCCTATTTTTTAAATTTGATAGTAGCATTGAGGCTCTGTTCATTATTGCTCATTTAGCAGATTCTATTATGTGCTTTCAGTGAATGTGTGTGTGTGTGTGTGTGTGTGTGTGTGTGTGTGTTCTTCTGAATAACAAGAGCAAAATGAATAAATGTCTAGGTTTTGGGAGGTCAAAGTCAAGTAATCTATTTCTTCTCAATTTTAAAAAAGGCATGACTATGAAAAAATATTAATCAAATTAATTCTTTTCTAAAGAATTGAATATTTTAAATAAAAAATGAAATAAATTCAATAAATTATTTTGTTATAGTATTATAAGCAAGTACATATTTTATTCCTTGAATGTTAAAATAATAGAGGTAACATCACACTAATATAAATTAACACAGTAAAATTGAAATAAAATAAATATGAATGGTATAGTGAAAATATACTAAATTATATGGCAAAACATACATATGACCGTTAGAAGCTATCAAATGTTTTCTTCATTCCTAGAGAATATCTAAAAATTAAATGTCACATGTGGCTTTTAGAAAGAAACATTAGGTATATTCTGATGTGATTTGTTAAATGCACAAATCACATACACCATTTTGTTATTTGATTCTTGCTTTCAACTCTTTAGATTTCATTGGATATATCGTACTGACATGTCTAACATTCAGTTAATTGGTTCACATCAGTCTTGACTCTTTAATAGCCTGTGCCTCCATGATTAGTGCTCCCTCTCTATTAGCCTGCCATTTGGGAACCCAAGATCTGTATATCATGAAGTAATGATAATAAAAAGACAGTTTCACATACAACAGGATTTTATAGAAATTAAAATGCTAAGTTTATGTCCCATTTTCTTTATTCTTATGGGGAAGAGTACTTTACAATAAACATTTTTGCATTTGGTGCTTTATTTGATCCAGACAAAAATAGACTACATAAGCTATTTTCTCTTGAGTATGTGATTAATGAATTATCTGCTTATCCCCTAATTGCCATAAAGGGAATGGAGTTGCTTGTGGCAGATTAATAAAAATCCTTGAGTGACTAGTTAGTATTGCCTGTCTAATATTTCATGTGAGTTACTTTTCAAACATGCAATTACCAGCCACAGATAGCTACTGCATAGAACTAAGAAAAGAAGGTATACTCAGGAGGCATTTTCCTTACCTAGCCTGCAAGTGATTGTTTTTGTGTGGGTAATAATAATTTGATGCTGTTTGAAGTACATTGCTTTCTTTTTTTTTCAACTCAGAACACAATTATGCAAAGGAAGATGTAACAAACAGACAGGTAAACAAATATCTTCTCAGTGTCTTTTTATTTTTTTTTCCTTTTACTCATACAAGATATTTTACATACTTGTGGAGTACAAGTGATAATTTTTTACACACATAGAATGTGTAATAATCAAGTCTGGATATTTTGAGTACCCATCACTTCTGAAGACCAGAAGAGAAAACAAGAAAGAGAATCTTGGACCAGAAGCCAAAATATACAGGTTATCTATCTAATATTCCACTATGTGTATTAATCATAGAACCTTCCAAGATGGACTGTCACTTAGAACTTATTGAGTTCAACTTTTAATGATTATAGGAATTCTATAAAATATCACTGAAGAAGGCTCTTTTGCCTAGCTCACATTTTGGAAACTCACCATCCTATTAAGCAGCCTCTTTCACTGAGAAAAGTAAAATCTATTTCCCTTTTACTTTCACTCATGGATCTTGGGGTTCTGTCCCCTTAGAGTCATATGAAACAAATCAACTCCCTTTAGCAATTGGTAATCCTTCACATATTCAAAAATAGCCATCACAGTAACTCTAATTCTCTTTCAAATGTCACACCAGTAAGTTTACGATCCTGTACAAGTCTCTACATACAGTCTTTCCTGCGCTTGTTATTTCTTTTTCTTTTAATATTCTAATTACTTTAGAACTCACAAATTAAATTTTCATTGCTAATTTGGCAAATATTTTTCACATGAATTTCATTGAATCTAAGTCTACTACTTTGTTGAAAATGCGTATGCCAATATTGGCATATTTACTAAGAAATGCTACCCAAATTGTAATAAACCAGGCCATGTGACTTTTAGGGAAATTCGTCACAGCTCAAGGTTTTTTATTTTAAACTTGGCATATTGAGGAAAACAATAGTTTTAATGCTAGAGCTGCTTGCACTCAGTTATTACATGCCAAAGATTAATATAACATTTTACAGACAATTTCTTCATGTACAATGAATAATACACTTCAGTAAAAGCTCTAGGAGACTAGGCTATATTCACCTTCTAATAAAGTCACCTATTTTATTGATATTTTAATATTAGGAACAGAGGCAATTAGCCAGTCGTGGTGGCGGGCACCTGTACTCCCAGCTACTCCGGAGGCTGAGGCAGGAGAATGGCGTGAACCTGGGAGGCGGAGCTTGCAGTGAGCCAAGATTGTGCCACTGCACTCCAGCCTGGGCGACAGAGCGAGACTCCGTCTCAAAAAAAAAAAAAAAAAAAAAAAAAAAAAAAACAGGGGCTTAGATATCAGAAAGTAAGTTCATAAGCTTGGGCTCAGAGCAGAGAGAGGAAGAAAACAGTGACAGATATTTGATTCAAATCAAGGAGAAGGCTAATGAATAATCCTTGCTCAATAACAGAGTATATCTCCCATTGAACAAGATGGTCATGTCCTCCAGATTCAAGGTTTCTCTCCTCTGTGAAATAGTGAGTATATACCACCAAGTTTTGCCTCTCTGAACTGTTATTGCTATGGCTTTATATATATAGTAAATATATATAAAGCATAAATATATACATTTAAGTATAAATATATATATTAAGTATATGTATACTTAAATATATTATACTATATCTATTTATGTATATTTATACTTAAATATATTATACTATATCTATTTATGTATATTTATACTTAAATATATATATATTTTACTTCGGAAGCATTTTAGCCACAGTTTTCTTTTTATTAATCAAATTATCAGAGTTCTTGAAGTGAACGCTCTTTCCCGTACTCTTGCTCTTATCTGTCCTAGTTCTCTGTTTTAATTAAAACTCAATACTTAGTATTTGTCAATATTAATTTCCATCTTATTTCCTTCCCAAATTTCTTTTCAAGTTTTTAACATCCAGTATAGTAGTGAATAGATTTGTGAACTATCTATAATCTGTCATCATATCATCTGCGTCTTAGGTTAGAGTAATCCACAAATGACACTAGCTGTAACTTTTCTATTACTATCTTACATTGTAATCCTGGGCCAATCACTGAGCTTCTGAGAGACTTAATTTTGAAATCTATTCAGGCACTACAACAATTTGAATGACTTTAATCCTATATCTTGGAGACTTTTCGTGTCTGAACTGAATGTACAGTTTTGTACGTGGAATAATGGGAGAAGGTGGAACATCCTGCTCAGGAGCCAGATTAGCTGTGAATCAAGAAGCAATGTCAGGGGACCAGCAAAACCACAACCTGGGCAGAATTTCCAAATATGTCTTCAAACAAAAGTAGTACAAAGAACAGGGAACATCCAGGTAAGAAGGCAACATTACAGAGACTGAAGAAATTAAAGCAGAGACAAAGACTGCTCAAAGCAGAGAGGTGGATGTGAATCTCGGTGTCATTTACAGAGGTAGACTTTTAAATAATCCCTTAGCTATAGATAAGGCTATGCCTTGAGTGCTTTAAATTACAACCTTGGCTTGACATTAAATTTTCTTTCGGGTGCTATCACATCTTAATGTTATATATATTCTTCTATCTCTGATTCTCGTAAGGCTTCCAGCTCTCTACATATTTGATTGAAAGATGGATTATTAAGGTCAGTTATAATCTGTATGTTCCAATCAGTACAGCAGGCACCAAATATGGAGATGACACAGTTTATTGCAAGTGCTTAGCTTACTGTATTTTTATTGTCTAATCTCCAATTGGATTTACATGTTATCACTGGCTCAGACATGACAGAGAATGGTGTAAGATGGAGAAAAACTGAAGTCATAATGTTACAGGGTCAGTATCCTCTACACTTGAGAATAGTTGAGGTCCTCTTCCATTTATTATGCATGGATGATTTATATGAATGTGGAGTACAACCAGATTTTTTTTATTGGATTTATGTCACCTGAAAAGCAATACACTCTATGGGTTTGCCCTTGACAATCTGAAATGTGGCTTAAAGTTGGGTAGCTGGTAGTTTCCTCAGGTATTGTCTGTCTGCTAGATATTATTTTGAAAGAGAAATAGCAAAGTTAAAAACCATAGTTGTAGTGAAAGGAGGAAATGTAGTGCATTGTAAATTCTTGGGGATGAGGTACATGAGTTCTGTTGGCAGGAATGGATATTGCTGCAGAAGGATTCTCAAATAACTGGTTGGTATATTCTGTGATTGCTCATTCATCTAGGGTGAAGGTTATGGTCAAGTACAGGAATACTAGCAGAGGTTTGAAAAAATGCCAACCTATTCTGAGAAACAAAAGGGAGACTATGATGGAATATCAGATCACTTGAGATGTGAAGGGGTCAAAGAGTTCAATGACAAGGTTGCAGTGGTGACTGTTATGAATGGGGATGAGGAAGAGAGCAGGTACCAGAGTACAGTGTCCGTGGCCAATGTGAGGGACATATGTTGACGATATGAATGTAAATGTTGATCAATGTCAAAAGTGCTATGGATTTTGATATGGATTTTCTATATGTGAGTAATACAACCAAATGATGACTTACTACATGGAGCTGGGGAGAAGACAGACACACCCTGGCATCTGAGTCCTCATGTGGTTAGTGATGAGGAAAAAAATCGAACGTTTATAGATTGTCGCTCCTGGCCAATAAAAGGGGAAAATAGCAATGGCCTATGAAGAGGGAAGAGAGGTTATGATTATTCTTGTTGTTAGTGTGGAGTAAAGTTACTTATGAAATCAATTTTCTTCCTCCTGTTTTTTTCCCTTCTCTGCAATTCTAACAGGTAGTTCCATATTCATTTTCAATGGAGAAATGTTAAGGATAACAGACAGAAGCTCAGATGGTTGCCTGGTTTTGGTTTACCACCATATCAAGAAGAGGAGGAAGAAGGAAAATGGGGTGAGCATGTTCAAAAATCTCTAAAGATAGGGCTAGAGTTAAAAGACTTCTAGAAAACATTATGGTAAATGGCTTATTTGAAGGGCTTTTTTTCTGTTGTAAGAGCTATTTGAAAGTAGAGACATTACTACTCCTGCCTCTGTGCCCAGATATATAACGGCTGCCCTTGCCATAGGTGCCTGATGAAATCTTCCCTTGACCAGGAGCTCATTCAGATTAATGCCACCCAGCAGGAGTTAGGCCCACATATATGTCTCTTTATTAAATGATATTGTTTCATGTCTATGTCCAGTTTATCACTTGTGGAATATTTTCACTATTTTACATTATGGGGCATCTATAAACCTCAAGAAAATGGCTATATCCTAGTTATCTAGCAGAGAGGTTATGGGGGAGAGATGGCACATCTGGTTTTAGATAGGGCTGAAAGCAGTCTGTACCTGGACAATAATTGAATGCAACTCAAGTTTCTCTGTAGTTTGGGTGAACATAAGCAATAATTTTATTACTGAGAAAGGAGAAAGAATAGATTGAGGAAATGATGATGCTGTCTATATTAAGCACTGAGTTTGAGATGTATCTGAAACTGCTAAGTGGAGATTTGCAATAAGTGATTGGATAAATTGAAATCTTACCAGTTAATGATTTGGAAATGTATACTGGGATGTAACAACATCTAAGTTATTTCTGAAAAACATTGAATCTAGTCACCTAAATGGCTGTATGCCCAGTCATTTAGATTTGGTCATTTAGATTGTATGCCCAAGACATACAATGTATAAGGAATAAAAGCATTGAAAACACATGTTTACGGAAAACAGGAGAATTCATATGACATGCTAAAAAGGAGCTAATTAACTTGGTAGAAGGAAATAGTGATGTCAGACAAGCAAGGAAAGTTGTAATGAGTCATCATGTCAAATGTTAGGACAGCGAGAACAAAAGAAGGACTACTAAGTGTTCAGTGAGTTTTGAAATGTATAATTAACGACCTTAGTGAACAAATTATTTGGAGTAATGTGGTATGAGTGTTTTACTGCATTAAGCAGAGCAATAAAAAAGTGGAGGTGATCTTGTCGTAAAAATAAAGAATAAACATAGTGGTACACTTAGTAGATACAGGAACAAAGTCAATGGAATTTGTATTTTTATAATTAAGTTTTCAAGATGAGAAAGTCTTAGAGATGTCCAAAAAAAAAAAAAAACAGTAAAGAGAGAGAGAGTTTGAAAACACATGGGAGAAAAGGCATAACTGATGGTACAAGCCATATAGCCTAAGCCATATTACCTTGCTAGATAAATGTAGGTGTGTATTTGTGGACGTGAACTGAACTTTTTTTCTCTGCCAAGAAAAGAGAATTCATTATATCTGCATAGCATTCCATGGTGTATATGTAGCACATTTTCTTTATCCAGTTTATCACTGATGGACATTTAGGTTGATTCTACGTGTTTGCTAATGTGAATAGTGCTGCAATGAACGTATATGTGCATGTGTCTTTATAATAGAATGATTTATATTCCTTTGAGTATATACCAAGTAATGGAATTTGCTGTGTCAAATGATATTTCTGTCTTTGGGTCTTTGAGAAATCACCACAACGTTTTCCACAGTGGCTGATCTAAGTTACACTCCCATCAACAGTGTAAAAGTATTCCTTTTTTTCCACAACCTCACCAGCATCTGTTATTTTTTGACTTTTTAATAGTAACCATTCTGACTGGTGTTAGTTGGTATCTCATTGTGGTTTTGATTTGCATTTATCTAATGATAGGTGACATTGAGACTTTTTCACATGATTGTTGGTTGCACGTATGTCTTCTTTTGAAAAGTGTGATCATGTCCTTTGCAGGGACATGGATTGAGCTGGGGGCCATTATCCTTAGCAAACTAATACAGGAACAGAAAACCAAATACTGCATGTGTACACTAATAAATGGGAGCTAAATGATGAGAGCACATGGTCACATAGAGGGGAACAACACACCCTGGGGCCTTTCATAGTGTGAAGGGTGGGAGGAGGGATAGGATCAGGAAAAATAACTAATGGGTTCTAGGCTTAATACCTGGGTGATAAAAGAATCTGTACAACAAACTCCCATGACACAAGTTTACCTATGTAGCAAACCTGCACTTGTACCACTGAACTTAAAATACAAGTTTAAAAAAAAGAAAAGGGAAATGTATAGAGACTGAATCTGCAGCCTCAGTACCTGTGGCAGGTGAACTAATTGCTCAGATGATCTGTGCTTTGTAAAGGGCATTTGACCATTGATGCTACTAGAGTTTTGCTGGGTTCTACAGCAGACCATGTAAAGCTATAGTCATTCCTAAATAGTTTATGTGCATCTTCGTATGCCAAATCTTAAGAGAATCTTATTTACCTGTCAGGTTATTGGCCATTATTTAGTGATCTTTGAAGACAGAGATGAAAATATCTCTGAAAATAGGCTTTGCAGTAAGTAATCTATTTTAAAATCATGTACTCCAAAGACCTCAAGTGCAGGGATAGATAATGTAACCACAGATATTCTAAAGTATTTTCTATTTTATTTTGTCAGTTTACAGTTACCAGTAATGTTATATGTAAGTAAAAATATGATGCCCTATTTTCTTTGCTGCCAAGTCTGAACTACAATTTAGACTGACAAATGGGCAAAGGTTTTTCAAGAAGCACATGGCTGATATCTGTGTATTGGAATATGATAATCCCATATTGTTTTTAAATCCATGGAGGTGCTAGTCAAAGGTGCCTCTGTGAGTTTTGTAATGAAAGCCTGGGAGTCGTAGGCGTTATTATTCAGTTCATTTATGAACAAATGTGGGCTAGCAAACTGCAGATTCTAGAGAAGGTATTAATGAATCATCCCCAGATGATCTACTGACGACCCGTAGGACTGCAAAATGAATCATATGACCTATTTTTTTAATTAAAAAACACATTTTAAATGAATTATTTATGAACAAGTACAGCTGTAACCTTGATAATATTAAACTGTTCTGGGCTGTTGAAAGGTATCTCATAGCAGTGACTATTCATAGTCAAACATGCAGAATGTATTAATGTAGTCAGTGAAAAATACAAAGTGGTCTCTGAAGAGATAGAGATAAATGAGCCCATCAATTCATATTGCCTTCTTGCTACAGCCAGTCACCAAAGATTTGTGCTGAAATATTTTATTTGGAGTTATTTGTAGTCTACAGATAGCTATGATTCTGTCCTTCAAGTTTTATAAAGTGATTATTTTACACACTATAAGTAATCAATGAGAAGAGTATTTACTATGTATCATATTTTCCTTAGAGAGAGAATTAATGAACATGGCATTTTATTTAAATTCATTTTAGTTATCTCTCATATCTGAGACACATTGAAAATTACTTGGATATTGGGAAGGCAGAGGAAATATTTTCCAAGCACTATTCAAAGAAGCCACATTATTTTTTCAGACATAAGTGCTCATAATACTGAGTTGTGGTTTAGTCAGGAACTAAGGCTACTTCAACATCAAGATAATTTTTCTAAATCTATTTTCCATTGTCTGCCTATAAATTATTTTATTTTTAAAGCTATACATTGAAGATATTAGAAAATCATTGTCTAAGTTTTAAAAGATTTGTAATCAAGGGTGATGTTTTATGTAGGGGAAGTGAAAAAGATTTCAGAGTGGAAAAAAAACTAGAGAAGAGAAAAACAAGAATGGGAATAATAAGATAAAATTGACAGACCTCAGAATGCTTTCCTCAGTTTCTCCTTGTAGTCAGAATTCATAAATCTTGGAAGCTAAAAAGGGATAATATAAAGCACAATGTAGAAAATGTAATTACAATCTGATACATACTGACTTTCAATATACAAATACGTGCAATAATAATAGAAATTAGTAATTAATTAATAGGCAAATGCCAGCAATATTTTGGGTTCAGGTGCGATCCACAGAAATGAAGCAAATATCACAATAATGCAAGTCAGATTAATTTCTTGGTTTCTTAATGCATATAAGACATATTTGCACTGTATTGTATTCTATTTAGTGTTTAATAACACTATGTCTATTGAAACAACATGCATACCTTCATTAAAAACACTTTATTGCTAACAAATGCTACTGTTCATCTGAGCCTTCAGCCAGTCGTTAATTGTTCTGCTGGTGGAGGGTCTTGCCTCAACCTTGATGGCTGCTGACTGCTCAGAGTGGTGGTTCCAGAAGGCTAAGGTGGCTGCAGCAATGTCTTAAAATAAGACAACAATGAAGTTTGCCACATTGACTGAGTGCTCTTTCATGAATATTGGAGTCAATTCTCTGAGACTCTGCCACTTCTTTATCAACTAAGTTTATGTAACACTCTTAATACTTTGTTGTCATTTCAACAATGTTCATAGCATTTTCGCCAGGAATAGATTCCATCTGAAGAAACTACTTTCATTGCTCATCCATAAAAAGCAACTCCTCATTGTTAAAGTTCGATCATCCCCAGTCACATTTTCAGGTTCCTCTTCTAATTCTAGTTCTTTTGCTATTTCTACCACATCTGCAGTTGCTTTCTCCACTGAAGGCTTGAATCTCTCGAAGTCATCCACACAGATTGTAATCGACTTCTTCCAAACTTGTTAGTGGTGATATTTTGACCTCCTTCCACGAATCACGAATGCTCTTAATGGCATCTAGAGTGGTGAATCCTTCTCAGAAATTTTTCAATTTACTTTGCCCTGATTAATCACAAGAATCATTATCTATGGCAGCTATAGTCTTAGAAAATGTATTTCTTAAATAAAATAGGATTTAAAAATTAGAATTACTCTTTGTTGCATGGGCTGCAGAGTGGATGTTATGTTAGCAGGCATGTAAACAATATTAATTTTTTTTGTATATCTGCTTAGGAGCTCTTGGGTGACCAAAGCATTGTCAATGAGCAGCGATATTTGAAAGAAATCTTTGTTTCCTGCATAGTAACAATCAACAGTGGGCTTAAAATATTCAGTAAACCATGCTCTAAACAGATGTGCTGTCATGCAGGCATTGTTGTTCCATTTATAAAACCTAGGCAGAGTAGATTTGACATAATTCTTAACAACATTAAGTTTTTTGGAATGGTAAATGACCATTGGGTTAAACTTCAAGTCACCAGCTGCATTAGCCACTAACAAGAGAGTCAGCCAGTCCTTTGAAACTCTGAAACCAGACATTGACATCTCCTCTCCAGCTATGAAAGTCCTAGATGATACCTTCATTTAATACAAGGCTGTTTCATCTACATGGAAAATCTGTTGTTTTGTGTAGCCACCTTCATTGATTACCTTAGCTGGATATTCTATTCCAGATAACTTGCTGGAGCTTCTACATCAGCACTTGCTGCTTCACCTTGCACTTTTATGTTATGGAGATGGCTTCTTTCCTTAAACACCTTGAGTCAACCTCCACTAGCCTCTAACTTTTTTTCTGCAGCTTCCTGACCTCTCTTGGCCGTCACAGTATTCAAGAGAGCTAGAGCCTTGCTCTGGATTAAGCAATGGCTTAAGGGAATGTTGTGTCTGGTCTGATTTTTCTATCCAGACCACTAAAACTTTCCTCTTATCAACAATAAGGCTGCTTCACTTTCTTATCATTTGTGTGTTCATGGAAGTAGCATTTTTAATTTCCTATAAGAACGTTTCCTTTGCATTTGCAACTTGGCCATTGGTTCAAGAGACTTTTGGCCTATCTGAGCTTTTGATATGCCTTCCTCACTGAGTATGATCATTTCCAGCTTTTGATTTAAAGTGAGATATGTGGGACTGTTCTTTTCACTTGAATGCTTAGAAGCCATTGTGGGATCATTAATTGGCCTAATTTCAGTATTGTGTGTCTCAGGGAATATTAAGGCCATGGGGCGGGAGAAAAATGGGGGAACGGCCATTCTGAGGAGGAGTTAGAACACACATAACATTTATTAATGACATTCACCACCTTAAATGGGTGTGGTTCATGGCACCCCGAGACAATTATAGTAACATCAAAGGTCACTGATTACAGATCTCCATAACAGATATAAAAATAATAAAAACATTTGAAATATTGCAATAAGTATAAAAATGTAACACAGAGACACAGTGGGCACATGCGGCTGGGAAAATGGTGCCAATAGATTTTCTCAACACAGGGCTGGCCAAAAAAACCTTCAATCTGTAAAACAAGCGTATCTGTGAAGCACAATAAAGTGAAGCACAATAAAACAAATTGTCCTGTATTAACTGAACATATACTATACCATTACACAGAACAAGGTGCTCTCTCTCTCTCTCTCTCTCTATATATATATATATATATTCTGTATAATTATTTATAACACATATACAGGGTGGCATTATTATCTCACTTTACACACAAGTGTAAGCTAGGCCTCTGAGAAGTTATGTAAGAATAACAAAGTTCTAGACTAGTGCTAATTAAAAGCAGGGCTGAGATTAAAATTCAGGTTTATCTATGTGACTCCAGAGGCAATCCATTCCCACTGCACTGCACTGCTTCTCATTAAGATTTTGAAGCAAAGATGCTACATGGGGGAACTTGTATCTATCACAGAAAAATAATATTTACACTTCTATGAACAAATTTATCGTTTATTAAAATAGCATATGTGCAGAAGTAGTTGGAGGATGACAGGCATATGTAGACTTACGCTTCTTCAGTGTTAAATTTATGGCTGAAAAGACAGGGAAGTTTCTTCCAGCTGCTTTTTAAATTTTAATTTTCTGGTGATATCTAACACATTGCTGTAAATCTTAATTTGCACAGAACATGATCACATATATTTGGCATGATAAAGTCTTAAGAAAATTGTCCTTTTAGGACTCCAAATCAAGCAGCAAGATTTTTCAGGCAATATGTTTAAATTTGTCAAAGCTTTAAACGATATTAAATTTTAAATATCATATGAATTATCTTAATTTGAGTTTGCTAGTAATATTAATTTGACCCATGTATTATTATAACTAGTACAGGTAGAAAATGGTTAAAAAATACCAGCAATTTCATATAGTTCAACCATGTAGTATTTTATATAATTTGTAGCTGTTTATAGGTATACTCTATATCAGTTATAATAATTAAAATAATTTTCAGTTGTATAGTTTTTTACACAGTTGTACCAAAATCCCACATATTTGGAAACATTTAGAGTGACAAAAAATTCAGCCACTATTATTAGTTATCTTACATCATATAGATCATTACATATCAAAAGTTTTTTTAAAAAAATTGTTTGTGTCTTTGAAGACTCTAAAATAGTAGTAGATAGTTGAGATAGCAACATTCTCTTTATTTTTTCTCTGTTTCTTCTTCCTAATTAAAAAAGACCAAGATTTAAAGAACTGTTTCAAAACACAATGGATGTAACAAACCAATTCCCTTAGAAAACTCTCTATTTATGATATGGTCACAACTATTGATCTTTCAATAAGAAATGTTTATTTTAATTTAGTTTTTTGCAATAATTACATTTATAGAGACAAAATATAAGGATAGATCTCTGGCTAATGAACTATATGAATATCACAGTAATCATTCTGGATAGGTTTATTGTTCAATTGCAATTATTTTTCATACCAAGTCCTTAAATACTGTGTATATATAGGTTAATGCTGTTCTATTGGTGTAGATTATTTTTGTGTCTTAAGTACATGAAAATGCACCCAAAAGGCAGGATTTTTTTTTCTTTTTTCTTCTTCTTTTCTTTTCCCTTTTTTTTTTTTTTTTTTGAGGCATAGTCTCACTCTGTCACCCAGGCTGGAGTGTAGTGGCTCAATCTCAGCTCACTGCCACATCTGCCTGTCAGGTTCAAGCAATTCTCGTGCCTCAGCCTCCCAAGTAGCTGGGATTATAGAGACACACCACCACACCTGGCCAATTTTTGTATTTTCAGTAGAGACATGGTTTCGTCATGTTGGCCAGGCTTGTCTTGATCTCCTGACGTCAAGTTATCCACCTGTCTTGGCCTCCCAAAGTGCTGGGATTACAGGCGTGAGCCACCACGTTCAGCCAATCAAGCATCTTTTAAAGGCTATAAGAAGATAACACATAATCACATGAGTACATTAAAGTCTGATTACATGAGAGCAAAGTATTAATGAAAACCTCCCCAGGTTTGCTGTCCTGCTAAATACTTTTTAATTCTTTTATTCCCTTCCACTTTGTTCTTCCTCCTCCTCCTCCTTCCTTTTCATCTTATTTTCTTTCTTCATCATTTTGGTCTCTTATTTCCTCATTTAAAAAAATATTTCTGCTTTTGTCAAGTAACACATCACCTTTAATAGTTGCTAAAATAACCAAAAATTCACTTTTCAGCAAGAGATGGAATCTATTTCTTTAGTCCTTGAAATTGTGTTGGCCATATGAGTTTCTTTGGCTAATTGAACATTAACAAATGTGACCCAAATTGATCAGGATTTCTCTGTTGACATTTTGGACTGGATAATTCTGTGTTGAAGAGTATTGTCCTATTCACTGTAGAATATTTATCATCCTGCCTTCTACCAACTAGATGCCATTAGCAAGCCTCTCATTGTGCCAATTAAAAATGTTTCTCCAGACATTGTCAAATATCCCTTGTGAGTTGGAAGAATTGCCCCAGTTTTAGAATTCTGATGTAGTGTCTTGAGCTTTCACTTACGCCTATAATCCCAGCACTTTGGGAGGCCGAGGCAGGTAGATCACGAGGTCAAGAGATCGAGAGCATCCTGGCCAACATGGTTAAACCCCGTCTCTACTAAAAATACAAAAATTAGCTGGGTATGTTGGCACATGCCTGCAATCCCAGCTACTTGGGAGGTTGAGGCAGGGGAATCGCTTGAACCCCCAAGGTGGAGGTTGCAGTGAGCCGAGATTGCGCCACTGCACTCCAGCCTGGTGACAGAGCAAGACTCCATCTCAAAAATAAACAAATAAATAAAAATAAATTTCCCATAGGGGCTCACACTCCTTTGGTGCACTGGAATCCTGACAATTCCATGGAAGTAAACCTGAACTAACCTGTTAAAGGATGTGAGACAATGTGGAAGAGAATGAAGGCACTCTGGCCAAGAGCCTATCAGCTGTTAGACATGTGAATGAGGTGTTTTCAGACGGTTCACATGAGTATGCTCCATAAAGATCATCTGAGCCTATTCAGACCAAAAGAACCACTCAGCTGAGTGACAGAATCATGAGCTACACAAATAGTTGTTAAGGTATTATGCAAGAAATCTGCATCTGCAGTTATTTTTGTTTAGACTTGAAATGTGTTTGCTTTTTTTTTCCTAATGAACACTAATCGCTGAAGAAAATAGAATTAGACAGATGGTATAGTAATTACAAACATGGAGTCTTCCACACAGATTTTCTGAGTTCAAATCCTGATTATTCTGCTTCCTATATGCATGAACTGAAGTCTATTACTTAAACTTGATTTGTTCAGCTTCTGCATCTGTAAAATGGGGTAAATAAAAGTGCTTAGAACATACTAAGGATTTTCTTAAACAGGTTCAGTCTAAATTTTCTGGGTGCATCTTTCTTTATTTCCAATACCAATCACAAATTTGGAAGCTCCGATATACATGTATCTTCTTCTCTATAGACCATTGCTTTATAGTGTCCTCTTTAAGAATACATGTGACTTTCGCTGGGCGCGATGACTCATACCTGTAATCCCAGCACTTTGGGAGGCCGAGGCGGGCAGATCACTTGAGGTCAGGAGTTCAAGATCTGCCTGGCCAACATGGTGAAACCCTGTCTCCACAAAAATACAAAAAGTAGCCTGGCACGATGGCGGGTGCCTGTAATCCCAGCTACTGGGGAGGCTGAGGCGGGAGAATCACTTGATCCCAGGAGGCGGAGGTTGCAGTGACCTGAGATCACGCCATTGCACTCCAGCCTGGGCTACTGAGCGAGACTCCATCTCAAAAAAAAAAAAAAAAAAAAAAAAAAAAAAAGAAGAAGAAGAAGAAGAAGAATACATTTGACTTTTTGAGTCCACACAGATTATACAGTTGCAGTGAAAAATCTCCTTTATAAATGAAAAGGATATTTATAAATCTCAAACTATTAAGAAAACCTTAGAGTGTCCAGTTCAAATTTAATAAAAAAGCTTCCTAGGAGTCTGGATTGGATCCCTATCTCTGCATTAGTCCAAACACTCCCAGGGTAATAAAATTGATTCCAGATGTCATTGCCCTGATGGTACTGATTCTACCATCACTGGACTCTGAAGGAAACATGCTTCCGAAGTAAGGGAACTCTAAAGTGCCTATATTCATAACGTAAGAAGTTAGGATCAGGGATTAGCTCAGTCTTGCAACTGGTTCACATTTTGTCTTAGCCTTCTGGTACTTCAATTGTACCCTGACAACTCCATTCGCTGACACTGAATTACCATTTATCTGCTGAAATTTCTGACTTTAATCACTCATCTGGATCCTTTCTTCCTGATAGTAGACTCCCTAAATCTGTTTCTTACAAGGCCATCTCCCCGGTACCAATTCCCTGACTTTTGTCCTTTCTTCCTATTACCTGCTGCCAATCTCTTCTGGTGCCCTGTTTATCTCCTGGAAGCTCTCTTTATGAATACCTCTCGGTCTTGTTGTCTCTTCTGGGACATTTTTCTGAAATTCTCTTTTTCTGCTGCCAGAACTTGTCAATTCAGCCAGGTGCAGTTCTGTTCATTTCCACAAACACTGGAGTATCTATTACATTATCTCTATTCTCCACCACAACACTTCAAACAACTCTTAAAAAATGATTGATTAGTTGTGGAAACCCAAACTGAAAAATGCTAGGTAGTTTCTAAAGTCATACAAAAGTAACTGTTGAAATTGCTTTAAATTCAGAAGGTGCTAGTGACTCTAAACCAACACTCTTCTTGTTCTGCTTTTCTCATATCTTATTCACTCCTATTCTTGTTTATGTATCAATACATAACCCTTCATACTGATAGATTGAGCCAAATTAAGTGAACACTATTTATTTTGTTATTATTTGTATTATTTCATAGGCAAATATTATTTGTTGTTGCTCAACAAATGTTGAGCAACAAAATAATGAAATCAAAATTATGTTTTAGAAATATGAATTCAGGGTAGATTGAAGGAGACAAAGAGGCTGAGGGTAATAGGATATTATAACAGTCCACGTCTGAGTTAATAAGCTCATGACACAAAGCGGTAAACCATTAGGAAGTCAAAGAACAAAATCGCTAACATTGAAAGCTGGTGCCCTCTGGCATGAATGAGAAGATAAAGAATGCCAATAGTAATTACAGATTATCCCCAAAGAATTCCCCCCAAATTATTATATTTTTGAAACTCATTAAAATATGCTGAGTTTTAGGGTTTTTAAAATTTAATATATAATGTAATAAAACAACCTTTCGAATTACTTCAGATGCTGGGAATAAATCTTTGGTAAAGGCATTAGGAGTTCAACATACTGCTGAATAATTGAAGATTCCAGGTAAGCATTTATCTTATGCTTATCTTATCTTATTTTCTTATGGCCTGCAGAACATACTCTGTGGATGTATAACTAGTTTAGTATGAGACCCTAAGGTTGGTGAATCACTGCCACATATGTTCATTTTATTTATTTATTTTTTTTGCACAAATGGTTCCTGTAATTTTGGACGTCCTTGACCTTTTTTTCCCGTCAGCTACCTTATTTTATGCAAAACCTAGCTCTAATGCTAGTGTATCTATGAAACCTTCCCTGACGATCCCCCCAAATAAATCCTTCCATTGTGATTTCATTGTTTGAGGAAACATTGGTTTATAGTTCCATTATTGTTCTTGACTTTTTATGTTTTTATGTGTCTTCCCAGGAGATTTAGTAATCTTTAAAGACATGACAATGCTTTAGCCATCTCTATTTTTCTCTTTGTTATGACTTATAAGACTGGGTCAACAATAGGTCAGGGTAAGAAGTAGAAGAAAAATGAAAGTGAAAGAATAAACTAACTTTTTTTATTCTCTTGCATTATAAGTATTTTTATAAGTAACACCTGATTTGTGGCCAGATTTTCTTCTTTAATATTTTGTGTAGCAAAACTCATTTTGTATTTGAGTACCTTTATGTATTATGGGTTTCCAAGAATCTCCAAACTCCTTGTCCCTTTCGTTGTCTGGATTTACTAATTCATGTGACCAATTGGTTTGTGTGGGCATTTGAGCTAACGACTTTGCTTTACATACATGCTATGATTTCATACACAATACAGTCCTTAGAAACCTGCTTTATTATTCTAGTTTTAAAACTGAAGAAACAGAGACTTCCAGAAACAATGTAATTTTTCCAGAATCATTTTATTTATATATGTAGTAGAGTTCAATTTCTAAAAATAAAATCATGAATTTCAGGAAGTTGTAACAAAAAAGATTAACTTGGAAAATGGAAGCTATTCACAATAAATTTTATTCCAAGTGGTTGGCACTTACAGTTACATTTGAGCTATTAGCTCCAATACTTAATAGCTGGATATAAGGGAAATCATGACCAACATCAAGTTATAAAAATAGGGCTTAGTTTTATGTGCTTAAGCTTTATGGAGAAAATGAATAAGAGTGGTTGCATAAAGATAGTCAACACTCCATAAGTAGCTTCTCAGTAGTCACTGCTTCATAACTTGCTACCTATCATGGGAAGAGTGTCAGCTGCAGTAGCAGCAGTCAGGTATTCATGAAAAACATGTTATATTCTGGGAAACAACAGCATAATTAAAACATGGGGAGGTGTGAAGAAAGAATCAGATATAATTTAAAGGTAGACCATCTGCACTGATAGTCTTCATTTCAAGAAGACAAGTTTTGCATACAGAATCTGCAGCTTCTCACAAAGCATGTATTTGAACTTAAAAACAACTGACAGGGACCAAGTCTTCCCAAAGGTAAGAGTCTAGTTTTGCTGTACTCCCAGGGAAGATATTGATACTGATGTTAGTAGTTGTACTGTCACAACAACTGACTATGAACCCAGTGACAATGCTGGAAATAAAATGTGTTGCTGTCCTTCTGGCTGAAAGTCAAATAAAAGATAAAAGAAGGAGAAACACAAAGTACGACTTTTTCTTAGACCTAACTTCTATTACGGTTAACCCAAATATAAAATTTGCAGTGAATGCCTGTAACAGAATTAATATTGGAAATCAGGCAATCAGGGTCTCTGATCATCTAGGGTGGAATACGTTAATTTTTTTAAACAAAAATCTCATCATAGTTAATAGTTATTTCTTTTTGAAAGAAGAAAGTGTTCTAATTTAGGACAAAAAGCCATTGTTTTCTAATTATAATGTTGACAAGTCATTTAAGAGTTGAGGCCACATAGAAATGGATAAGCTGAAGTTAAAAAAGAATGATACATAAATTTTTCTGCATTATAAAATGAATAGTAGTTTGGAGACAGGACAAAGCCATGAGGAAAATGAGAAGGGTGAGGAAATTGATTTCAGAGAAGTACAGCACTTTGGACAAAAACAGACACATAGGCCAGTGGAACAGAGTAGAAAACCCAGAAGTAAACCTGCACACTTGCAAACATCTGCTCTTTGACAAAATCAGCAACAAGCAATGGAGAAGGACTCCCTATTGAGTAAATGGTGTAAGATAACTATGTAGCTATATGCAGAAGAATAAACTGGATCCCTACTTCTCACCATCTACAAAATTAACCTAACATGGATTAAAGGTTTAAATATAAGACCCCAAACTATAGAAATCCTAGAACAAATCCCTTCTTGACATTGGCAAAGGATTTATGGCTAAGTCCCCAAAGGCAATCACAACAAAAATAAAAATTGACAAGTGAGACCTAATTAAATGAAAGAGCTTCTTTACAGCCAAAGAAATTACCAACAGAGTAAACAGACAGCCTACAGAATGGGAGAAAATGTTCACAAACTATGCATTTGACAAGTGTCTAATATCCAGAATCTACAAGAAACTTAAACAAATCAACAAGCAAAAAATAAACAATCTCATTAAAAAATGGGCAAAGGACATGAACAGACACTTCTCAAAAAAAAAAAAAAAGATGTCCCAATAGCCAGCAAACATTTAAAACATGCTCAACATCATTAATCCTCAGAGCAATGTAAATCAAAACCACAATGAGATACCATCCCACACCAAGTCAGAATGGCTATTATCTAAAAGTCAAAAAACAACAGATGCTGGTGAGGCTGGGGAGAAAGAGAATGCTTATACATTGTTGGTGGGAATGTGACCTAGTTCAGCCACTGTGGAAAGTGGTTTGGAGACTTCTCAAAGAACTCAAAACAGAAATACCATTCAACCCAGTAATCTCATTAGTGGATATATCCCCAAAGGAAAATAAGTCATTTGATCAAAAGACACATGCCTCCATATGTTTATTACAGAACAATTTACAATAGCAAAGACATAGAATCAGCCTAGATGTCCATCATAGTAGATTGGAGAAAGAAAATGTGGTACATATATACCATGGAATACTAGGTACCCATAAAAAATGCAATTATGTCCTTTGCAGCAAGAAGGGTGGAACTCAGGGTCATTATTCTAAGTGAATTAACACAAGAACGGAAAACCAAATACTGCACGTTTTTGCTTACAAGTGGAAGCTAAACACTGAATACACATAAACATAAAGATAAGAGCAATAGACACTGCAGCCTACTTCATGTGGGAGGGTAGGAAGAGGCCATGAGCTGGAAAACAACCTATTGGGTACTATGCTTACTACCTGGGGGATGGGATCATTTGTACCCCAAACCTGAGTGTCACACAATATACTAATGTAACAAACCTGTACATGTACCCTTTAATCTATAAAAAAAGTTGAAATTATTCCAAAAAATTTGAAGTTTTGTAGCAACCCTGGGTCAAGCAAGTATATTTGTGCCATTTTATCCACAGGATGTGCTCATTTTGTGTGTCTGTGTCACATTTTGGTACTTCTCACAATATTTCAAGCTTTTTCATCATTGTTATATTTGTTATGATAACCTGTGATCGGCAATCTCTGGTGCTATTGTAATTGTTTTGGGGTGCTAGGAAGCATGCCCACATAAGATGGCAGATTTAATCAATGAAAAAAATTAAAATGAAAAGTCTAATACCATGATGCCGTTAGCATACTTGCGTTCTAAAACTCCCCATTATTATAAAACCTTTGGACAATGTAACTACTTCACATGAATTACTTGTGAAACCGAAGCATTTGTGGAGGAGTCTTCAATACTACATTTCTGTCAATACCCTTAAAAATGGAAGCATCATGCCCTGGACAGAAAATAAGATATCCAAACTGAAATAAGTCAGCAGGAGCATGAGATCAAAGACAGAGAGAACCATAAGATGCATCTCGTTCTTGCGCTGAGAATTTGCAGAAATTTTCAGAAGGTCATTGGAATTCAGTAATATAAAATTACATTTCTATCAATATTAGCAAATATTTAAGGTACAAAGTGAATCTAGGCAGTAAAAGAAAAGAGCAAAGAACTTCATTTCTTAAATTTTTTTTCAAAGATATTAGAGAATGAACTATGCTTGAGGAGAGAGAAGATTCTGATTTCCAACTTACTTTGGAACAGATGTCAAACTAAATTAATTTATGTCAGTAAATTTTCAGAGATTTTTCAATTGGAATTCTTAATTAAATTGAAGAGCAAAATAAATGATAATGAACAGCCCAAGTGAAATAAAGCAAAGTCTCTTTCAATTTGGAAAGAGTTAACTGTAATCAGTTAAAGGACATTTCAGCAAATTAATTGGAATTCTAATCAGAAGTGAATAAGTACTTTGAAATGAGGGCAGAGGGCAAGATATAGATGAACAGACTAAAATACTGACCTCAAAATACATCAATCGATAAAAATAGAAAGTGTTTTATCTCCTCTGCTTCTTTTAATAACAAGGATTAGATCAGGCAAAAGGCTTCCTTTGCTCTTCAGCTCCTTAAATCAGGAGCTTCAAAGAATTAAGTCTCTTCTCACATTGTTAAGTGATATAGGAGAAATCTAAGTGGGCTTCAGCTTCAGAGGCCCGATGTCCCTTTGTCGTTGATCAGCTGGTGAGTCCTGGTACTATTTGTCTCTGTCAAGCCCACACATCTCAGCATCTGCACTACGAAGTCCCTGCTTGGTCCATGTCTCTGAACTGAAGGGATGCTCTTCAGAGTATTGACTATGGTGAGCTTGACAAGTTTGTCCTTTTGACAAGGTGAAAGAGGTCATTCTACCCACCAGTGGGATCTGCAAAGTAATGCTTAAGGAGGTTTGAGCCTACATTTATGCAGTTGCACACCAGGGATACTGTGGACACAGAAAAATTGTAAACAACGTGGAATTTTTTTTTAAAACAACAGTTGTTTTCAAAATATAGCTATCAACAATATCTGTTTATTTAATTGCTTACAGCACTGTCAGTAACACTAAATATGAATTTTAGTGATCTATTTGAAAATGACAAAAATAATTACTGCATCTTAAGTGCAATTCTCAAGAGATAGTCAGCTGAGAAATAGCATATATTAGCAAAATTACTATTTGTGGTCTAAATACTTCCTAAAACAGTTAAGAAACGTAACCAGACCCAAGTAGGATATTTTTTCAGAACAATTCTCAGAATAAAATTAGTTTCTCTCAATGATTATTTGAACATGTTTAATCTTTGAAATAAATAATTGAATCACTGGCCTGGTCTTGACCCTGACAAAATATTTCTGAGTATAAATAAAGATTCGTAGTACATTGAGAGAAAGCAAGAGAGATATAGGAAAATTAAAATAATTTCACCACCATTTTTATATTATTAAAGGTGATTTTTTTTGTTCTTCCTATTGTCCCAACAATTAAGAAGATGCTTTAATTATCTTTTGCGGGAAATAAAGAATGGCGTCACTGGAAGAGATTTAACTAATTTGGTTTATTAAGATGTTTTACCAAATTACTTGCACTAATGTAAACATTATTTTTCCAATGTTCATGTTTTAGTAATATACAAAGAGCAAGATTTTCCAATAAACCACTGGAGTCTTCATAAGCTCCAGTGTTTTCTAAACCAATTTTACTTAGTATTGTTGCATGGGGATTTTACATGTTTAAAAGCACAGCTGTAGTTCCATTAGTATTGTACAAAACTTGTAAAAAGTAACTAAGGCACGTTTACTGTTTTTTCCCACAGCAGGTTTGTAAATTTCTAGGTCACTTGCATTGGCCATGAAATATTGCAACAAGGACTACTCCTGAGGTAATTAAATTGGATATCCAAGAGAGATGTTCTTTCTTGCAGTATTTTGGGAAAACCTGGAGGATTGTAATTTACTGACTTATTTATTTCAAGAGAAAAGGAAGCATTTTTAGGATGTTTGCTAAATATATCTTCAACAGTTGAAAAGCTTTCCAGATAATTCTCAGATAATGAAATCCCTTTCTTAAAAAGAAAAAAAAAAGACTATTTTTTCTCTTCTGTATCTTTCTTCTTCTTTCCCTTGTCCTTGCCTTCTATGCACCATCCCCCTAGAAGCTATAAATGTATTGACTTCAAATATTATGTGTTCATATGAGATTTAAAAATGGACCCACATTCTGTAACACCAATCACAAGGAAACTAAAAAGCTAAAAAAATAAAATTTTAAACTCAAATCCATGATTTCTAACCTTTTGCAATTATCATGTCTTCACAAAATTCATGTGAATAAAATATTTTAGTACAGAGGATGTGTATTTCTGATATAAATACTCCTTTAAAATCACTTATTTTTTGCTTCACAAAAATGTCAAGCTCTCAAAAGACAGACACAGAGAAGAATGATTCCATATTAAAGATGACTGAAGAGATAAGGCATGAAATGTAACACATAATCCGGGGCTGGATCCTGAACCAGGAAAAAAAATTCTAAAAAATATAATTGGAACAACTAGTGATATTTGAGCGTGTATTTGTTGTATATTAGATGATAATTTTGTATCAATGTTAATTTCCTCATTTTTATATTTGTATTGATGTTATATAAAAGATGTAAGAGAATATTCTTATTTTAGGAGGTATACATTAAAGAATTTAGAGGCAAAATATAATTTTTTTTTTTGTTTCGACGGTGTCTTGTTCTGTTGCCCAGACTGGAGTGCGGTGGCACAATCTCAGCTCATGCAACCTCCACCTCCCGGGTTCAAGCGATTTTCCTGCCTCAGCCTTCTGAGTAGCTGGGACTATAGGCACATGCCTCCATGCCCAGCAAATTTTTGTATTTTTAGTAGAAACGGGATTTCACCATGTTGGCCAGTATGGTGTCGATCTCTTGACGTCGTGATCCACCCGCCTCGGCCTCCCAAAGTGCTGGGATTATAGGTGTGAGCTACCATGCCTGGCCAGAGGTAAAAGATAATCTTTTTGAATTTACTCTCAAATGGTCTGGGAAGGGTGAATAAAGATAGACAGACATTGAAAAACAGATTCATAGAAAAATAAATATGGTCATTTTATTCTTCAAAAATAATATTTTCTGTTTTTTTTTTCCCCCCAGACAGGTTCTCACTTTGTCACCGAGGCTGGAGTGCAGTGGCGCAATCATAGCTCACTGCAGCCTTGACCTCTGGGGCCAGAGTGAAATCCTCCCACCTCAGCAACTGAAGTAGCTGAGACTACAGGTGTGCACCACCAAGTCCAGCTAATTTTTTTTATTTTTAAGTTTTTTAAGAGACAGGATCTCGCTATGTTGCCTAAGCTGGTCTCAAACTCCTGGCCTCAAATGATCCTTCTGCCTTACCCTCCCAAATTGCTGAGTTTATGTCATAAGCCACCACTCTCAGCTTAATATTTTATTTTTAAAGGGGCATTCCATTAGAAAGCCTATAAGGAAAATCTCTATATGTAAACAGTACACATACCTGGAAGTGGACTCCCAGTTAAAACAATGGACTCTGTAATCAGTAGATAGTTTTTGTAGAAATTGATTTCACACTAAAATCTAGAGCAATGTTGAGCTCATATAAAGCGGAAACTAGAAAATGCCCCCTTATTTATTTATTTATTTATTTATTTATTTATTTACTTTTGAGACGGAGTCTCACTCTGTCACCCAGGCTGGAGTGCAGTGGCACGATCTCGGCTCACTGCAACCTCCGTCTCCCCTGTTCAAGTGATTCTCCTGCCTCAGCCTCCCAGGTGGCTGGGACTACAAACTTGTGCCACCACACCCGGCCAATTTGTTGTATTTTTAGTAGAGACGGGGTTTCACTGTGTTATCCAAGATGGTCTCGATCTCCTGACGTTGTTATCCGCCCGCCTCGGCCTCCCAAAGTGCTGGAATTACAGGCGTGAGCCACCCTGACTGGCCGCCCCTTTTAACTTAGGTGTAGGATGACCTCATTGACAAGCCTCACAACCAGTGTTCTAGAACAAAGAGCTGAAGAAAATGATAAACTGACTTGGAATCTACCTCAGAAGAGAACTTTCAATCTCCAGGGAGAGAACTGTATAAGTTTACTACAAAATACAATTAATTCTTTATGACATTCCTTTGCAGGTCAATGAAATAAATTTTTAAATATCTGAGCATTAAGTATTTACTCTTTGACTCATAATGCTAGACAGAGCTTGGGGCTAGAGAAAAGAGAGGCAGAATGAAATCTAAGGTCACTTGTTTCAAACTTTGTTCTCGTCTGCTCTTCAATAGCTTGCAGTTGAGTTGGGATGAAAGCTATCCACATTTGGCTGAGTGAAGTAACAGGGAAACCCACTAGACAGATGGTCCCTAACTTGTCACGGTTCCCCTTAAAATTTTTCAACTTTTCTACTGTGTAAAAGTGGTATAAATTCAATATAAACCATACCTTAAAGTTTGAATTTTGATTTTTTCCCAAAATTAGGCTAATGTAAGTGTTCTGAGCACTTTTAAGATAGGCTAGGCTAAGCTGTGATATTTGTCAAGCTAGGTGTATTAATTAAAGATATAATATTAGGCAGTTTAAGTACTTAGGTATATTAAGTGCATTTTCAACTTTCAATATTTTCAATTTGTGCTGGGTTTATCAGTACATAACCCCATTGTCAATTGAAGTATAAGGTTAGTATCAGAATGAGTGACACAGATAAGGTATACTGTGGGAACTCAGAGACAGAGGAGATAAATATATCCTTCACCTATGTAAAGCCACCAAAAAATCTGAGAATCGAGCTAAGATTTGTTAAATTTGTACCAAATAATTTTCTTAAATTAAACAACTTTGGATACAAAATCAACATAAATAATCAGTTGCATTTCTATATGCCAACAACAAATAATCTGAAGAAGAAATCCAGAAAGTAATCCCATTTACAATAGCTACAAATAAAATAATATACTAGGAATAAGCTCAACCAAAGAAGTGAAAGATCTCTGTGATGACAACTACAAAACATGGATGCAAGTTATTTAAGAGAACAGAAAAAAATGGAAAGCTATTTCATGTTCATGGATTGGAAGAATTGATATTGTTAAAACATCTATACTACCCAAAGCAATCTACAGATTCAATATAATCTCTAAATCTCTATCAAAATACCAATTACATTATTCGTGGAAATAGAAGAAAAATGCTAAAACTTATGTGGAACCACAAAAAATTCAGAAGAGCCAAATCCAATCTAAGCAGAAAGAACAAAATTTGAGGAATCACATTATCTGACTTCAAATTATACTACTGAGCTATAGTAAACAAAACAGCATGGTACTCACATAAAAACAGACACATAGACCCATGGAACAGAATGGAGAGCCCAGAAATAAATCCATACTATCTACAGTGAACTGATTTTTGACAAAGGTGTCAAGAACATATATTGAGGAAAGGACAGTCTCTTCATGAAATGGTTCTGGGAAAACTAGGTATTCATAGGCAGAAGAATTAAACTAGACCTCTATTTCTCAAATCAAAAAGAATTAAAGACCTTAAATGTAAGACCTCAAGCTATGAAACAACTACAAGAAAACATTGGAGAAACTCTCCAAGACATTGGTCTGGGCAAAGATTTATTGAGTAATATACCACAAGCACAGGCAACCAAAGAAAAAATGGACAAATGGGATCACATCAAGTTAAAAAGCTTCTGCACAGCAAAGGAAACAATCAACAAAGTGAAGCGACAACCCACAGAATGGGAGAAAATATTTGCAAACTATCCATCTGATGTAGTATTAATAACCAGAATGTATAAGGACTCAAACAACTCAACAGAAAAAAAAATAATCCAATTAAAAAATAGACAAAATATCTGAATAAACAATTCTCAAAAGAAGACATACAAATGTCAAATGGGTATTATGAAAAGGTGCTCAACATTATAGATCATCAAAGGAATGCAAATCAAAACTATAATGAAATATCATCTCATCCCAGTTAAAATGTCTTTTATCCAAAAGATAGGAAATAATGAATTCTGATAAGGACATGAAGAAAAGGGAACACTTGTCCACTGTTGGTACAGCCATGATGGAGAACAGTATGGAAGTTTGCCAAAAAATCTAAAAATAGAATTACCATATGATCCAGTAATCCTACTGCTTGGTATATACCCTCCTAAAAAGGAAATAAGTATATTGAAGAGATATGCGCACTCCCAAGTTGATTGCAGGACTATTCACAATTGCTAAGATTTTGAATCAATCTAAGTGTCCATCAGTAGGTGAATGGATAAAGAAAATGTGGTACATATACACGATGGACTATTATTCTGCCATAAAAAATAATGAGATCCCATTATTTGCAACAATATGAATGGAACTGGAGGATATTATGTTAAGTGACATAGGGCAGGTGCAGAAAGACAAACAATGCATGTTCTCTCTCAATTGCGAGAACCAAAAATTAAAACAATTGAACTCATGGAGATAGAAAGTAGAATGATTGCTACCGGAGGCTGAGAAGAGTACTGGAGGGTTGGAGGGGAAGTGGGGGTAGTTAATGTGTACAAAAATATAGTTAGAAAGAATAAATAAGATCTAGTATTTGACAGCACAACAGAATTACTGTAGTCAATAATAATGTATTGCACATTTTTGAATAACTAAAAGAGTATAATTGGAATGTCTGTGACACAAAGATATGACAAATGCTTGAGGTGATGGATACCCCATTCACCCTGATGTGATTATTACACATTGTATGCCTGTATCAAAATATCTCATGTACCCCATAAATATACATACCTATTATATACTCATAAAATTAAAAAAATAAAAATTAAAAATAAAGCAACTTTGGAAATATCCTTTAGATGCAGAATCCACAGTCAGAAAAACCCTGTATTATTGGTTTTTACAAAAGAGATAACATCTCTTTAAGAATACATGCCTTTTACGTATTCTCAAATATTTAAATATTAAGTATTTGTTTTTGAAGAATGTAATCAGTTTATCTGTTTTAAGAAACATTAAGATATTTTAAATATTACAACTATGCCAAAAGTGTAAAAAGAATAACAATTTCTTCCACCCAATTTTCCTATATTCTGCTTACTTTACTGAATATTGTATTATCATTTCATTTCATTAATTTCATAAAACATAACTTTTAGTAACTGCATTCAAATTCAATCCCCAATCACTGGTGTTTATAAAATTAACAATTTTTGTCTATTATAATTAATGCCACAATAAACATCCTTGTGGATAAATCTCTAAAACTCCAGTTTTCTAAGAATTTGAGAGGCAAAATTTCTACATGTTTCAAGATTCTTTGTATACCACCACAGACACATAAATCCTGTTAGGTGTGACATTAAAAGCTATTTGGCTTATAAATTTCAAAGACACAAATTTAATGAAGTAAAAGTTAAACTTAATTGTTCTATAGCAAATCAATGAAACTTGCAAACCCTTTTTATATGGATAGGAAAATAATCACACAAATTCAAGGTAACTCATTAATTTCTATTTTAGAACTAAGGTTTGGCTTTGTTGTTTTGTTTTTTACTAAATATTGAATTCGATTTAGGTGTCTTGCTTCTCTTTCTCCTTGGAGGTATTTCAACTTCTTTGGCAGACATACAAGTCTCCCTAGCCTTAGCAGATGGGTGTTTGAACTGAGAAGGGCTCTTCAGTTCCTGTTGGTCTCTGCTGAGATACGCGCTGTTTTGTGGCAGCATCGGATGCTGATTTCTGAGCTCCCACCCCTGCTTGCAGTTACGTGGTCGGTGAATCTGGGACCCTTGTATCTGCAGTCCCTCCAGAATCAAGTCCTACTCTCTTTCCAAGCATCGATTTAACCTCAGCTTTTGGATGGTTTAGGAATTCCCTGAAGCACATTCTGATCGATAAACAAGCCTCTCTTGGGCTGCCCTTTACCCCCATCTGCAGAGGCCAACCTCTGATCTCGCCCTTGGATCCAGCCATACAAGCTGCAAGTCTACTTTTAGAGACTGGTCACCTTTTGAGTAAAAAAGTATGAGATAGAACTGTCCTCAAATATCACTAAAATCATTCAATGGTTTCTGTCAGAAAGTTTTTCATATTGCCTATGTTACCCTCTCAGGCCAAGACATGAGGGGATGGGGCATGGAACTTTTACTCAGGTGCTCAAACAGTATCCAAAACCCGGGCCCAGGACCCAGGTCCTCTTCTTTCCTCTCACCATCTGGTTGACATTTAGCATATTTCCCAGTAAAGGGAGAAACTCTGCTTAAGGCTTATCCTATTTTCTTCCGCTGCTTAATGGTTAATTTTATATCCTTTATGTTCTGTTTCTCCTGGCTTTGGCTCATGATCTTCCAGGAAGTGTCCTTAAAGGACAAGGGAGGAGGGGGAATGGAGCGAGTATGGGTCACTTTCTTCAGCAATTGTTCACTTTTTATTTCAGTATGTGGCACCGCATATTTAAAGCTAAGGCTGATGCCTGGATGGTGGAAAAAGAATGATGAATTCAAAGAATGAAGAAGGAAGATAACCTCACTTTATATTTAAAATTGTCATCTCATCATGTATTTGTGTAAGTGTTTCAGTGATGTGTGTCACTTTATAGAGGTACTCTATAGAATGTCAGCCTCATTGCAACTTTGCTGGCAATGGAGCATCACCTCCTTGTATTTCTTTTCTTTCTTGCCACTTTTGGGAACATTTAGTAACTGATTATTATTTTAACTCCTCTGTGTGTGTGAGTGTGTGTGTGTAGATGCATGCACACCTATGGTTTCTAATGAGTTTTCATATACTTTCGAATATAGAAGCTATTTTATCTCTTTTATACATACATATTATTTATATTATTCATTCAAAAAGTTGCTTAATAACTATGAAAGTTATTAAATTTATTGTTATTTTTATTCACATAATATCAATCTGCAATTAGAGAAAATTTTGTTTTCTTCTATTCAAAAACTAAATCCTCTCTTCTTTTTAGTTTAGATTAGATTGTACTTAACAGAATTCATAAAAAAGTATTAGAGTGATAATCATGTGCCTTTTTCTTAGAATCTAAGGGGAATGATTTTAGTAATTTGCTGATAAGTATAGCGTGGGTTTTTAGTTAAAGATATGCATTATGCATTATTCAAGTATTCTATTGAAACGGGAAAGTTCCCTTATTCCCTAGCAGGGCGTGCGATGGGGGTGTAGCTCGCTTCTTCAGTGCCCCGCTGCTCAAACCTCTAGCCGGAGCGTGCAGAGGGGCACGTTGAGGAGCTCTAACCCCAAGGCAGCATCTAGGAGTGAATGTTTATAGCTCCTGAGTCTCCTGTGGGTGTGTGTTACCCCGTGCTCTTTTAGTTTAGTCATCTGTAAGAAGCTTGTGTTTATCAGCTCAATTAGATCCCTTGCCTTATTGCAAGGATAGAGGGCTTTTCTGTATTTCGGGGTTTCTTTCCTTGGTGTACCGGAAGAATTGGATTACACCCGGGCCTGGACAATCAGCGCAAGGTTTTATTGAGCGGAAGTAGCTCTCAGCAGATGGGGAAGACAGAAGGGAGAGATGGAGTGGGAAGTTGGTTTTCCCCTGGGGTAGGGCTGCTCAGCAGCAGGGCTCTCCTCTGTCCGCCCCAGCCAAAATCTGCTTCGGGCCTCGATGGCCTGCCAGCCTGCCAGCATCCGCCGGTGCGCTCTTACTCAGGTAGGTGCCTCTACGTCCAGCCGCTTGTGTCTTCTTCCGGTGGTGTGTTCTTCTCCACGTCCAGCTGCTTGTACCCAAGCCCATTAGGGTCTCGGGAGTCTTTGCAGGCACGGGATGGGGGCGTGACAAGCCAGGGTGGTCTTGGGAAATGCAACATTTGGGCAGGAAAACAGAAATCCCTGTCCTTACCTAGGTCCGTGGGCACAGGCCCAGGGGTGGAGCCCTAGCCAGGGACCACGCCCTTCCCTTTCCAGCACTTCCCTGCTCCACTCCCGTACCACTGTTTCTGGTTTTCTAAAACGGCTATTTTTAAATATTCAGAAATGAGTGTTAAATTTGGAGCATCTTTTTAAATGGTGATATGATATGCATTGTTTTATCTATTATTATGATATGGTATTATTATATTTTAGACAAGTGAGCGATATTTGAGTTTCCCTGGGATAAATCCTGCTTGGTTGTGATGGTGGGTTTTCTTTAGGAATTTTTTACTTCACTGCTTTATAAATCATTTTGGATGATTTATATTCTAATACAGACTTTATATTTATATTCTAGTATAGACATATTCTATATTAAACAAGGCACATAACTTTTGCTTGTGTATTTATCAGATTTAGATATTAGAAATATGATCCTTTTTAAATTAATAAAGATATATTCTAAAGTTTGCCAGTTGCAAGGATAACTGTGTTCTCACAGATCTCCTCATCTCACCATTTTGTTGGGTACTTCCAGAATCTTCTTTTAAACATTAAATGAAAAGGCAAGGCGATGGTCATTATTACAAAGTCACTGTGTCTAGTGATCATTTGTCGACTGTTTGCCTGAGGGATTTAATCTTGCTCCCATTGCTTAATCTCCTGATCATGAGGCATCAAACATTTTCCTGGAAAGTTTGTGTGTGTGTGTGTGTGTGTGTGTGTGTGTGTGGTGTTAAATAGAGTTCCTATTGTTTTGTATTCTCCTCTCCAGTATTTGGCATGGTATTGTTAGTGTTTTAGAATTTAGAATTTAGACATTCTGATAGGTGTGTAGCGATAGCCCATTGTTCTCTATTATTTAGAGATATAAAGTCTTATTTCTAAACTGGTTTTCCGTAACTTCAATTTACTTAAATATCAAAAACTGAAGTTTTTCATGCTCCATTAATAATTTTGACTCAAGATTTTCAACTTATTTGAACAAAATTTAACCAAACCATAAAGGATTCACTTAAAAGCAATGGCAACATATCATTTGAGATACTTAATTTGAATTTTACAGTTATTCTTCAAAGGGTAAAACATTTTAAAATTTGTCTGAGAATGCACATCTATTGCCATACTGATGTATTTTTTTCAAAATCAGCTTTGTGATGAACATTTTATAGTTTACTGTAATTCTGTATTTATAAAATATTGATATGTTTTGACAGCAGCTTTAATTTCTGATGGTATATTATTGGAGCTTTTATGAATGCAGTTTTGAACTACATGGGCAGCAAAATCAATTGTAAGTATATTTTTGTTTCATAGAATTCTTAATTTAGTAAGGACATTGTTTTACCCATAAGGTTGTGCTCCACCTAAAGTTGTATTTTTATAATCACCACATCACCACATTGTTTTATCTATAATATTGAATTTATTGAATTACTAATCTGACTTCCCAATAGCACTATCAGTAATATAAGATGCTTATTTCTAACATAATGAATTTCCAAAACCTTTACTTTATTTACATTAATAAAAATTTAAATCATTCATCAGAATAACCTATTTTTAAATTTGAATTTTTTGATGACATTTACATACTAAAACAATGTAAATATTTAAGACATTTTTGACTAATGAAGTGAACACATTAAAAGCTATCTCCTCACTTTTTATGCATTAGATAACAATTCTTGAAAAAAAAAGTAAGTTAAATGAGAACAATCATTTGATCTAAATGAACAGTCATGCTTCACAGAGCCTTTCTTCTGCAGCTCCTAGGGTTAAATCAATTTCTTTGGGAGCAATCATCTAAAAATAAATTCTGGTTTTTGATGTTAGTGCTGATGCATCTTCAGCAAATTTTTATCTTTAGGTTTTCATATCATCAGTGGTATACTATATGATGGATGGCAAATTCAACAAGTATTTTGTGAGGAACTTCTGCTTCCTACCAATATGTAGTCATGGGACTTGTTTTATTATCCCACTTGAAACAACTAATAAACCAGCCATAATATTCAAATCAATGTTTCTGAAGATTTTTCGCATCAGAGAACAAAGCATAGTGCTCCTGAGAAAGGGATAACAAATTAGGCAAGCCGTACAATTGTTCCATCTTACATCCTTAAGAGGGGTTTTCAGGCCATGGAATGTGGAACAGAAGTTGAGGGAAACTGATGGAGCCTAGCAAGCTCTCACAGATGAGGATATGTAGTAGAAAGTCTGTGGTAACCTGATCAGAGTCCCAGTGAAGGGAGAATTGAAGACACAGGAATCTCCGGAGATCTTCTGAAAGTCTCCTTCAGTATTCAGCAGGCATGTGTGTAGGGGGAGGCCACCAGAAAGAATCACCAGAAAGGATTAGAGGAAAGAGTACTCAGGGCTCACACAGGGTGGGGACTAATAACTTTCCACTAGCGAGAACTTAAAACCTTACAATTATGAGGCTCTGGCTTTAATTCTCAGAAGCGTCTTCCTGGGAGGAATAAATATCCCTAAATTAAATTCTGTTCTGACTTCACCTAACAAATAATAAAAATAAGACCCTAACATAGATAAAATTACTTCCAAATAACTTAAACATGCCCCATAACAAAACTTAATAATATTTGTAGTTATACAAAAACATCCAGCAATCAACATGGTAAAATTTTCAGTATCTGGCATCCAGTAAAAAAGTCCTGGCATGAAAAGAAGCAGGAAAATATGATCTATAATTAGACAGCTCAATCAATTGAAACCTACCCATAAGTGACACACAGAATTAACAGAAAAGAACACTAAGACAGTTATCTTAATTGTGTTCCCTATCTTCAAAAAGCTAGTAGAAAGATAAAGCATGTTAATTAGCAACATGAAAGATATAAAAATGACCCAAATCAAACTTCTATACATGAAAACTACAACATGTGAAATTTCAAGAAAGGATGAAATTACTGGCAGATAAGAGATTATTGCAGAAGAAAAGATAGTGAACTTGAAGACAAAGCAATAAAAACTATCTAAAATGAAACACACAGAGAAAAAAGGACTCAAAAAAGTAAAAGAAAAAGGACAAGCAATATACCAATTGTAATTGGAATCCCCTGAGAAGAAGAGAAGGCTGACCGAAGACGATTTGAATAATTAATGACCAAACATTTTCCAAATTGATGAAACAAATATTTTGTGTATCATGAAGCTTCTCTGGAAATGAAAGTTCAAAACTGAAGATGGTTTGTTTTGAAATAAGAATAAAGTTTTAATCAACAATAAAATAACCATAGATTTTCAAATCCACAATGTGGCAAGAAACTTTTCTCCATAGATACTAAAGCAGAAATTCTCAGCCTCTATTTTTTGTCATATATTTCATATATACTTTAACATATTAATTCCACTTTCTCTCTGATCCAGCTCACTGATAGCCTGACAGCTTAGTGGCTGTCATTGGCATTGGCATCAGCCAAGGCACAACTGACTGGCTCATTAAATGGACAACAGGGTCAGCAACATCACATATTTCTTCCACTGCCCTCAGAGACCAGAAGGGGTAAAATGTCCTCAAGCCCCACTTGAATGGATGCACCTTATTTTATCTAATACCTGCCGTAACCATGTTGTATCAGGAGCGGGTAGAGGAAAAAGAGATTTAACTCCATATTGAAATGAGGCCCCTGTTCAGAGCGTATGTGTCACACATCGCTAGGTAGGATGTAGTATTGTATAGTAATCTACAAAACCTATCCTGAGTTGTTTTCATGCAACAGTTAACAGCAACAACAACGATAATTAAGTGATACATTGAAACAAACCTAGACCAAATATTTAAAACTCTTAACTGAGATTGCCAGAGCCATTTTTAGTGGTATGATAACTCTATATCAAAGAAGTAGTTTTATAGTTATGAATCATTATATGTAAGATACTGTTGTGTCTTTATATATTTAATAAAAAAAAACCTTTTGTTGTTTTTTAATATGTAACCATTTAAGAGGTCTAGGCAGATGTAACATTGATTCACATTCTAAGATATCCAAAATGAAATTATAGACCTTTTTGCTCAGGGATTGATAGATATTTTTCAAAAAGGTTTTCAGTTTCTTGAGGCTTTGAAGCATTATTTGTTAATGGAAATTGACTCCTCTGTGTCATACTACTATGTTACTATGTGCATTTTTCACTAGAGGGAAAATCGGGAAAGGCATAAGATCCAGTATAATAACTACTTAATCAAAGTTTTACAATTGAAAATTCATTGTTAATAAGCTATTTTAATATTAAATGGAAAAAATGAATTTTAGAAGGCTGAATGTAGATGTGGTCTTGCTTTTGCTTAAAGTATGTCTATACATATATTTATATTTTTATAACAACAAAGAAAGATTATATATACAGAGGAATAATCTATGGTTTTGAAAATATTGTGAGGTATTGTCTTCCTTAGGTTCTTTTTGTTTTGTCAATTCAAAGAAAGCAATATTATGATATATTACAGAACTGAGCATATCTGATAATCACATAAAAATGTTTTAATATGTTTATATAGCATATATGCTCAGAAAATTAACATAGATGAGATATTCTAAAAAGAGAAAGGATAAAGAACAAATATAAAACAGAAATCATGTTTCTAATCAAGCTACTATCTAAATGAGTAGATAGAACATATATGTACACACACACATGAAGATTGCATTTACAGAGAAAAATACCACATAATGACAATTAAAATATTAAACATGGATAAAGAAAGTTGAGCCTGCCAAGCAGAAAAGATGGCAGATGAGATTAATCACCAAAGCCTTCCTTTATAAGGTGAGATTTAATTATACTTGAATAAGATACTTAAGCTAAGAGAGCTTTGTCACAAAGTTTTCTGTCTGTTTCGGTAACAGTTCCTGATGTCCTTACTCAGTCTTTGGGCATCAGAATAAATAGAATTATATTGATGGTCCCTATTCCTGACATTCAGCAGTGCTAATACAGGGGGCATATTGTCATGCATATGACTACAGTATATGGGCCTTGGGCCATAGCTCATTCTTATTTAGCTAACACTAGCTGACAGTTAACACTTTGGAGGTCAGCCAAAGAAATTAAGAGAAGGGGGCATCACATGGACTTTCTTTTCCCTAAAATAATCAGATAGAATGAAGACATTGAGGAGAGGCTGTTTTTACACTTTTAGTTGAATACCTTTCATATCTACTTGGGAAGTGTTTTTAAGATTATAAAGTGATGATGAAAAAAAGGAGACTCCTTTTATGGTAACAGAAGATGCATTCATTTGTAGGAACTCCTTGGCTAACCTTCTTACAATAAAGTATCCTAGATTTTGTGCTCTCTCTCCTTGGATTCTAAAGGCTTGAAGCTGGGCATGAGGCAAAAGTAATATAAGCATTGCATAAAAGTAACATACTATGTTTGCTTTAAGCATCCACATGATTCTTCCCATCAGGTTAGGGTATAATATGCAACATGTCATCTTTAGGAAATATTGTATGCTAACAGCTTTCACAGCAGGAATGTGTAGTAAGAGATCTTCAAAAGATTCAAGGCTTAATATTTACTGAGACTATCTTCTACAAAACTGAGGGCATATATTACAAAGATAATGAAAGGGATTATTTTTGATGGGTTTAATCAGGAATAAATATCTTTCCATGTCTTGTGATGTTCTTTTAATTGTGAGTACCTTGGCTACTAGAGCTGAGCCAGTGCCTCCCTTTCCTACCTGTGCTTTTACTCAATGTTTTATTCTTTACTGTTATCTAATGTTTTCCCTTGTACTCCGGGATATAGAATATATTTCTTCCAAAAAAAAAAAAACTATTTTAACTTTTTGAATCAATTTGCACTGGTGGTACTTAGATGCCACTTGGTAATTTCTCTAGCACGTTCATGTTTTTATTTATCACATAAATATTTGTTCAGCCCAGCTCTATGCCAGGTATTCTGCTCAATGCTGGGGATGCAAGAAGCCACAGTGTGCATGTCCTATTCTTGAGCCTTCAGATTGGAGGCAAGTTCCAATACAGTGTGATGAGTGCTATGAGAGAGAAGCTCCCTGCATGGCAGAGTGGCACATCTTCTGGTTACAGAGGGCACAGTCAGAAAAACCTTCAGGAAAGAAAAAGTGAAATGATCAACCTGAGCTCTGAAGTTGAGAAAATCTCAGCCCATGAAGGAGATTAGGTAGCAGGCATGCAATCTGGGTAATAAAGCAGCCTATACCCTGAAAGGAAACCTGTGCTAAGTGAGTGTGAAAAACTTGGGGAACTGCAAGTCACTCTGGATGACAGAGAAGTAGGAGATATGTTAACCATTGTAGAAACTCCAGTTAAAGAGGTAGACAAGAATAATATCATTACAAAAAAATTAAAGTTAAAAACCAAAAAATTTCGTTCTCCAAGGGGTTGGAAATTCATCTTAAATGATATGTCAGCCATTTATTTTAAGCAAAATAGTAATTCAGCCAAATTTATATTTTGGATGATCATGGCTAAAAAGAACAAGGTTCAAGCCTGGAAGAAAATTTTCCTGAAGAGTTTTGCAGCTCAAAAAGATGTTATTTGAACTAAGATTATAATGAAAAACAGAAGGAACTTAGGTGAATTTAGTAGTTAATAAGGATGCAGAATAGATGGTTTATGATTGATGATTTGGATGTAGATCCTGAAGGAAAGATTAAAGGATGATTCTTAAGTTTCATATTTCATCAGCAAACTTGATAACCAGGTGCTCACTGAAATCAGAATATCAAAAAGGAAGCAATTTTGTCACTAAAGGAAGGTAGAGAGAGAAAACAGTTTTCTGATTTAAGCATATTGAGTTGGAAATGCCTGTAGAATAATAAAATATAAATAATGAGTAGAGGTCAAATATGATGTCTCTGGAGATGAGAAGACTAATCTGGGAGAGAGAAAGGGATTTTGAAGAATTCAGAATATAAATGGTAAAGCATTTGAAATGGATAATGTCATCTAGAGACAGCTTATATACTACAAAAAGAGGCTCAAGGATGAACCCTTCACTCTTTAAGATCAAACCAAGAGGAGTGTGAAAGAGGCTGAGATGTAACAGATAAGGAAACTATAGAAAGAACAGCAGAGTATGGTATTTGGGAAGAAGAGAGGGTTCAGAAAGTAAGAGTGATCAAGAGAGTCAAACGTCAAGAGAAAGCAAAAAAACATGAGAAGGTAAAAATCATTCAAAGATTTTAGAGTCTATGAGGTTCCTCTTGGCAATGGTAATTTTAGTGATGTGATAACAGAAAAGAGGATGTTTTGTTTTTTTTTTTTTTTTTTGAGCCAGAACTGACAGGCTTATTGATAAAGAAACTGCTTGTAAAGGACTCTTTTAGCATTCCTGAATAGAAAAAAGAGTGTAAAAAAGGAGTGTAAAATAAAAGGTCAGTTCTCTCATTTCCCTCTATCTTGTCATTCTGCTCTTCTGATATGTAGCTGAATAGGTGGGGCAGGCTAGGGTACATGTGACCTATGAGGATTCACAGATTACTTGTCTCTGACCCAAAAGTTCTTCTTCAATTCCTAGTTAGTAATAGTAGCTGTGATTAACAAAATAATACATCTAAGAACTAAATATTAGTTTTATCCTTATTGTAGTTGTCATTATTATTTGGTGCCTATAAAAATGGGCATGATTATAGATATTAGATACAAAGTTGATTGACTTCATTTTTGCCTCCCTAAGAAATGTAACAGGATTTAACATTTTATTCAATGAATATTTATGCAGCTTTTCCCATGTGCCAAGATTGATACTGTATTATTTTTATACTGTTATTGATGAGGTTCAGAAAATCACAAAGATAGAAGAAGACAGACCTAGGAATTAAATGTAGTCCTTTCTGACAACAAAGCTCATGGGAGGCACACTAATGTCACTTCTGAAAGAATAGGCAACTATCATTCTAATCCCAATTTTATATCAATAATTAAGTTTATAACGTTATGAAACATTATTAATATGTTACATTGTTAGATCAGTGTCTCTGGCATTAGAGAAGCCTATATATTGAATTCAAACCACCCTTGCCTTTAGTTTTCTCGTGTTAAAAGGGGGATAACTGTAGTAACTGTCAATGTGTTTAGTGAGAAGATGAAAAGTGCTAATAATTAAACGGGCTACCTAAAATTTTTCACAAGGACTGTCCAACTCTGGACATGCTAGCTGGTGGTAGTAGCGGTAGCAATAGTAAGAGTAGTAATGACACTATCCTGTGACAGTCTAATTTTACCAAAGAATTATTAATAAAAAGAAACTATGTCTGCTCTTTTGCCAAAGTTGGATAATCAAGTCAGTCAACCAGTAAGTTCAGCCACAGATAGCATTTGACATGTAACCTTCTTGATTGAGTCAAATTAATTGAAAAAGTTGAATTAAATTTTTCGCAAATATAAAGAATATTATTCACCTAAACTAATTTCTTTCTTTTATCTGCAATATTTTTCCACAAATCACATCTCATGAATTGCTTATATCTGAAGTTCAGTTGGAAAGAATATATGAACTCCCACTATATATTTTTGCCATTTTAATGTATTGACTCTTATTCTTTGTGTTCTCCAGTGACAAAGCCATTTATTTTTTCCTAAGAGTTTAATATTCATTTCATTTCTCATGTATTTAATCCTCTTCAGTCAGTTCTATTAAAAAGAGATTAAACACTACTAAACACAACAACAAATATTTTTTAAATTGTTTTTATTTTCATTAAAAATATAAGCTTCCTGGATACCTTGGAGTTTAAGAAGCAAAAATGTGAACAGAATACTAGAATAATTTTTATATTATGAAAATTGAAATCACATGATAATTGTCAATCATGGTCACATATACAAGTGGAATGGGGGAGAAGAAAGCTCAGATGGTTTACTAAAGGAAGGAAGTAGGCATATAGCCACTTTAACTAGGGTAATTCTTCAATATTTGTTGCAAGTTGAAGCGATGGGACATACAACACAAAAATGAATACAATGTCACCTTTTTCCATCTGGGGGCTAATCTAGCACCAGTACCAACCTTCTTTGTCTGCTTATTAAACAAACTAAAATTCCTGGCTGCGTGAATGAGAGATATTTATCTAAGTCATCTGGGTTTGTTTCCTCATCTTTAAAATTGATATAATATCTATATCAAGTATCAGTTGATTATATACATCAAAATAATTGACAATGCCTAATACAGTGACTTCCATAAAGTAAGGCCTTGGCCCCTCCCCAACTTCATCTTTTGAAATTATTATTTAAAAGATTCAGAAAGATAATGGTCTTCAACACACTGAGATTTGGATGACTACACGGTAAACTCCTAGTCATTTATGGGATCTTTAAATGCCGCCAACTAAACCTGAGCCTGCAGCAATGTGGCCAGTTATGATGAGGGTTTGGTTCTAGACCTGTTGAGGTGATGTTTGAGACATTTTCTCATTTGATCTTGTCAAGCTCCACATCAGAAAGTTGCAAATACACATTACATTTGGGCAATTCAAATATTTTGGTGCCCATGTGTGCAGTTGGTCATACTCTCCAATTGCACAGACTGAAGCCCCAAGTGGGTTTTCTACAAACAGTAAGTTCAGACAATCAAGTGGAGACCAACAATCACACTCAATATGTTTGATTTCTTAGAAATAGCTAGGGCCAAAACATTTTCAGTTTTACATGTTTATGTTTCCTATTGTACAGAGGTACTTAAAATTGAAAGAGAGTGAAAAATATATGGTGACCTTTCCTCTGAAGAGTCCGCATGTCAGCTCTTCCCTGGCTGAAGGCTTTGGCCATCACCCCCTGGGTCTATTGCCTTTTTGAGTCTAATTCCACAGCTTTACAGATTTCATAGTGCTTCACAGAGAGTTTCTTCCATGCTTCTTTTGAAGTCTGGCAGTTTTTTTTTTCTTTCAAACACCTTTTTTTTTTTTTTTTTTTGGAATTGGATATTGTGCTTATTTATTTAGAAAATAATACGTAGTGGGTTTATTTACTATTGGATAAGAAAGCCACCTCCATTCATTGCTTATATAAACACTCTGCAATTGGTTAATTGCAGAGAAACACCTGGAGGTCCTACTGCTTCTAATTGTCAATGTCCCGTGGTAGCTGATAGTCATATACAAAAATAGGAAATGGCCATCACTTTGAATGAGACTAACCATGGAGTCCTAAAGTAAAGGCATTCATTAGCCATCTGTCCAAGGTAAGCTATAGCCAACACTTTTCTTGTATGAATAAAGCTACTATTGGGACCTTCAGTTATTATTAATCAAAACTCACTGTAACAACTGATATGGAATTACTAGCAGAGTGAATTTTGTGGCAAAATGTTTAATTTTATTTAAAAATTATTTTTATTATTTTTATCAATTTGAAAATTCAAGAAAAATGACAATTTAATGAAAGAAATAACTTTTTAGGTATCAGAGCTTTTTTAAGGACTTAAAAACATATTACTGGCTTACTTAAAACATAAACCAGAAAATAAAATTGGTCAAATACATTGATTGGTTATAAAATTTCAAACTGATGTTAAAGCATTTAGCTATCACAAGAGAAACAGGTAAATTGACCCATGTGATAATTCCCTGCTATGAAGTGATCCTACTTTAAAAATCCCATGCCAAACAATGAGCCATTTGAATGACAGCCTATGTGACCTTCCAAGTTAGAAACAGTCTCTAATCTATTTTCTACTATGTTAAATAGTTGTTGAATTACCTAATTTACTATGTTCTGTGTAGGAAAGTGTTTTTTTAAATTTCATAAAAAATAAAAATACCAGCTTAACAGTAATTTAAAATTAAAATTTAAAATATTAAATAGATCTTTTTTATTGACATAATAAATTTTTAAAGGTTGGCATTAGTTTAAAACAAAGTAATTTATGTTTCAAAAAGAAATTCTAAGATATTGAATATTTCCAAACTATTGGTGTTAGTAGCAAAATTTTGTTCTGTGTAAGCTGGAAACTACCATTTTTCATTTAACCTGAAATATCACTAAAGGTAAGACACACAATTGTTTTATTTATCTCTAAGATTTTTTTAAATCTTTTTATTATTATTATTATTTACTTTAAGTTTTAGGGTACATGTACACAATGTGCAGGTTTGTTACATATGTATACATGTGCCATGTTGGTGTGGTGCTGCACCCATTAACTCGTCATTTACATTAGGTATATCTCCTAATGCTATCCCTCCCACCTCACCCCACCCCCGACAGGCCCCGGTGTGTGATGTTCCCCTTCCTGTGTCCAAGTGTTCTCATTGTTCACTTCCCACCTATGAGTGAGAACATGTGGTGTTTGGTTTTCTGTCCTTGCAATGGTTTGCTGAGAATGATGGTTTCCAGCTTCATCCATGTCCCTACAAAGGACATGAACTTATCATTTTTTATGGCTACATAGTATTCCATGGTGTATATGTGCCACATTTTCTTAATCCAGTCTATCATTGATGGACATTTGGGTTGGTTCCAAGTCTTTGATATTGTGAATAGTGCCACGATAAACATACGTGTGCATGTGTCTTTATAGCAGCATGATTTATAATCCTTTGGGTATATACCGAGTAATGGGATGGCTGGGTCAAATGGTATTTCTAGTTCTAAATCCTTGAGGAATCGCCACACTGTCTTCCACAATGGTTGAAATAGTTTACAGTCCCACCAACAGTGCAAAAGTGTTCCTATTTCTCCACATCCTCTCTGGCACCTGTTGTTTCCTGACTTTTTAATGATCGCCATTCTAACTGGTGTGAGATGGTATCTCATTGTGGTTTTGATTTGCGTTTCTCTGATGGCCAGTGATGATGAGCATTTTTTCATGTGTCTGTTGGCTGCATAATGTCTTCTTTTGACAAGTGTCTGTTCATATCCTTTGCCTACTTTTTGATGGGGTTGTTTGATTTTTTCTTCTACATTTGTTTAAGTTATTTGTAGATTCTGGATATTAGCCCTTTGTCAGATGAGTAGATTGCAAAACTTTTCTTCCATTCTGTAGATTGCCTGTTCACTCTGATGGTAGTTTCTTTTGCTGTGCAGAAGCTCTTTAGTTTAATTAGAACATTCCATGCTTATGGATAGGAAGAATCAATATCATGAAAATGGCCATACTGCCCAAGGTAATTTATAGATTCAATGCCATCCCAATCAAGCCACCAATGACTTTCTTCACAGAATTGGAAAAAACTACTTTAAAGTTCATATGGAACCAAAAAAAGAGCCCACATTGCCAAGACAATCCTAAGCCAAAAGAACAAAGCTGGAGGCATCACACGACCTGACTTCAAACTATACTACAAGGCTACAGTAACCAAAACAGCATGGTACTGGTACCAAAACAGAGATATATACCAATGGAACAGAACAGAGGCCTCAGAAATAATACCACACATCTACAACCATGTGATCTTTGACAAACCTGACAAAAACAAGCAATGGGGAAAGGATTCCCTATTTAATAAATGGTGCTGGGAAAACTGGCTACCCATATGTAGAAAGCTGAACCTGGATCCCTTCCTTACACCTTATACAAAAATTAATTCAAGATGGATTAAAGACTTAAATGTTAGACCTAAAACCATAAAAACCCTAGAAGAAAACCTAGGCAATAACCATTCAGGATATAGGCATGGGCAAGGACTTCATGTCTAAAAACTCTAAGATATTTTTTAAAATGCTTCCAGTTAAACTTTATAGAATGTTTTCATATCAGTAAAATATTTCATATTTTGTTTTATATCTTTTGAAAGATCTTTTTTGGATTTATTTGACTTTTAAATCATTTATTATTCCTGTAAATATTATTCCTATAAATACTTAGAAGAAAATATAAATGCTAAATATATTGGCCTGCATTACAGTAATAAAAATACATTCCAGTTTCAGAGATTTTAAAATGTAGAAAATATGGATTTAAAAAAATTAAAAAGTCTTTTTATATCTTACTTATTATTAAACCTATAGTAGCTCAGAGTAGGGAACAATTAACTACATTAAAAATAAATGCATGAAATGACTTTTTGTTTAAATACAGAATAAATGTCATACATCAACATCCATGAGCCCAAATAACCCATAATTAATAAGAAGGTATATTTGCTCTCAGTCATCTAGGTATATGTCCTCTAAGTACCTGAGTCTAAAACTGGATACACCACACTTCTGTGAGAGTACTTCACACTTACAGTGAATAAATAGAATTTAAATGAAAATGACTTTACCTGATTAGAACCTGAATTTTACCTTATAACTTTTCTATCTCACCCACTTAAAACATCTTTTAAAGAATAGTAGCTAGTAATTGTTGGGGGAGTTTATACTAATATTAGTGTGCAGGTTATCTATTAATTTGGATGGAAAAATCTAATAAAGTCATACACAGATTACAAAAGAAGGCTAAAGGGCTATAAGTGGTTTGTAAGCCTTAAGTTTTTCATAAGAACTATCTCTTCCTCTGTACTAATGTACTCCTCTTTAGTCAATATTTCTTTGTCTTCTATTTCTCAATGCTGAAATGTGTGTGTGTGTGTGTGTGTGTGTGTGTTTGTATGTATGTGAGACAGTGTGTGTGTATGAAAACTATAGCCAATTAGGTTGTTTGGCAATAGACACTATGCCTTGGGTGAACTTGAGTCTTTAGCTTTTTCCAAACTGTTAATTTTTTCTTGAGAGTGAGGTGTTACGCTTGTTCTCTTTTTCCTTTTGGGCTTAAATTATTCATGAGAAACAAACTCCCTCCTTAGTTCCAAATTTTAGTTCTCTGAGAGATAAACAGTTATTATCATTCACTCTCTTGGAAGAAAAAGCCATGTCTAACATTTTGAGCCTCTGCAAAAGCTTCACACATTTTGCCCTCAAAAATTGCAATACATAATCATGAGAAACAGGGATCCTGGGTACAGAATATATGCAGCACAGAAGCAGACATATTGGCTTAAAAACACTTAAAAATTATCAAAATTTTACCAACAAGTGGAAGCCTACAGAGTGAAGCGACAAAATAGGGTGTCTGTGATTAGAAACTCGCATGTCAAGATGTGAAAAAGGTAAGCGAAATAGGCTTATGAAATAAAAGTTACTAATGGAGAAGAGAAACTAGGAGACAAAATGGATAAAAATGAAAACAGCAAGGAGGCCAAGAACTCAAAAAAAAAAAAAAAAAGAAAAGATCAAAGAAGAGAAAAATACATAAACATGATCTGGGAAACCCTGAAAGGAAACAAACATTTCCAGAGAATGAGAGGAGACCCTCCGCACCACCCCTCAACACCTCTCCCATATGAGGGGTGACAGCTAATTGTTATTTCTCAAGGACAGTGATAAAAAAGGAGATTGCAGAGGGGAGTTGCTCCTGCAGAGAGAAGAAGAGTTTTACTAACAGCCCTCTGTGTGTAAGCACTATATAAACAGAAGAAAAAAATAGCATCATCAGTCTTCATGGCTATAGAAAAAGTACAAAACTTGAGGCCCACACACAGAAAACAAGGGAAAGTATACAAAAGACTGCCAAGGCATCTTGATCTAGAATGGCATCTAGAAAATCTATGCATAGGAGCCACCACATTTAGCAGTACCATGTGTGAGGTGAGTTTTTGCCAGATCTCATGAAGGACATAACAATATATTGGTGGCCATGTGATCAACAGCGTAAAACAACCCTAGCAAATACTTTTATGTATTTCTAGAGAAAGTACTTTGTTCTATTCTGTCCTCTAAAGAAAATGGTATTATCAGGTATCTTTCCCAATAGCCTGATTCAAGCTGACTCATAGAAAAAGACACATAGATCATCCTCAGAGCACCTCAGACACAGCAGAGAGAACTGGAAAGGAGTCAGACATGTGACAGTGACAAAACAGTGGTAAATGAATATTTCATGACATCATGAGATATGCTTTTTAGTGCAAAAATATTAGAATGCTGTAAGGTGAAATAATTTCTTTTTTGCCACATATTGTCTTTCCTTCTCTCTTTTTAGTCTCTCTTTTTTTTTACCTACGTCTACCTTCTTTGTCTCTACTCAATAGCATAGTTTTTCAAAAGATTATCATTCATACAAAATTTCCTTCTAATTCTGAAATATATTTTGCAGTGTTCCTTTTCCTAAAGTGAATTTACAACATAGACCTCCATTATTGGGACATTAAGTCATTTCAAGAAATTTTAAGTCTTTAGTAAATCTCTATATGGAAGTAGATTACATCAGAAATAAACTCTGTGTGTGTGTGTGTGTGTGTGTGTGTGTGTGTGTGTGTGTGAGAGAGACATGCAAAAATGTTTAAGGGGAAATCAAATAATTTATATGTTAAAAGATTGGATACAAAGTGTGGATACCAGGTAAATTTCATATCAACACTGTTTTTAGGCATTGTAGTGTTGAACATTTGAACTAAAAAATTATAATCATAGTTTACATATCTGAACCTAATTTGCCTCAATTTTAAGAAAAATAAATTCATCAGATATGAAGGAATGACCATATATACTTGTATACATGTGTGTAAGGTGGGATGTTGATTCCTAGAAAACCCAATATGAAAGTAGATTTTTGAGAAACAAGCTTAGCTAGGCATAACTATTATTTCTTACTATTATTGTAAAATCATTTGTTAGCCTTTTCTTGAAGAATTTTCACATTATTAGAATGTCACAGGCTGTAAACTAAACAAATGCTTCAGGCAGGAAGCCAGAAAAAGGAAGGTCAATTACTATTTCAATACAAAACTTAGGTGTGAAGACTTAATTCAGCTATTTCTTTTTCTCTCTGTAAAACATATACCTGTTCCTCGAAATTTAATTGAATATGATATATTTGTACTGCCATAAAAATCAGAGATGTCTGCAGAAAACACAAATGATAAGAATTGTATCAAACTAAATACACTTTATGTCCAAGGCCCTATCCTAGAATACTTACATACTCTCTTCTTACAAAAAGAAGCTAGTGCAGTTAACATTTACCATATATTTGTAATGATGTGTGATATGGTTTGGCTGTGTCCCCACCCAAATCTCATCTAGAATTGTAGTTCATATGATCCCCACATGTCATGGGAGGGACCCCGTAAGAGGTGATTGAATCATGGGAGTGAGTTTCCCCCATCCTGTTTTTGTGACAGTGAGTTAGTTCTCAGGAGATATGACGGTTTTATAAGGGGCTTCCCTCTTCACTGGGCACTCATTCTTCTCCTTCTTGCCTCCATGTGAAGGACGTGTTTGCTTCCCCTTCTGCCTTGATTGTAAGTTTCCTGAGGCCTCTCGAGCCCTGCAGAACTGTGAGTCAATGAAACCACATACCTTTACGAATTAACCAGTCTTGGGTATGTCTTTATTGGCAGTGTGAGAACATGCAGTTAAAATTTACTGTACTTTTATAATGATGTGTAAACCACAAGTATTGTGATCAGATCAGAAAAGTCACCAGAATATCATGTGACAATATCACACACTCACACACAAACACAAACACGCACCTCACAATCTCACATACCCTTTCTGCTATAACTTAATTGTAATTGTTAGCAGTTTATCAGCCCTGATAATTAAAATAAACTCACAAGAATGGGGCCAGTTTCGGTGGCTCATGCCTGTAATCCTAGCATTTTGGGAGGCTGAGGCAGGTGGATCACTTCAGGTCAGAAGTTCGAGACCAGCCTGGCTAACATAGTAGGGAAACCCCATCTCTACTAAAAAATACAAAAATTAGACAGGCATGGTGACGAGTGCCTGTAATCCAAGCTACTCAGGAGGCTGAGGCAGGAGAATTGCTCAAACCCAGGAGGCAGAGGTTGCAGTGAACCAAGATCATGCCACTCCACTCCAGCCTGGGTGACAAAGCGAGACTCTTTCTCAAAAAAAAAAAAAAATAGTATAGGGTTTTGAAACAACAAAATTGTAGAAAAGGAGTAAAGATAGGAATTGCAATTCAAAAAAATTATACTTTCCAGATATATCACCATTGTTACAATTCTAGAAATTTTGGAAAAACCAAGTGAAATTTTCAGATTCATAAAAATTGAACAACAGATCATCAAAATACATGGGGCAAAAACTGGCTGGGCATGGTAGCTCACACTTGTAATCCCAGCACTCTGGGAGGCCAGGGCAAGAGAATTGCTTGAGCCCAGGAGATCAAGGCTGCAGTGAGCCATGACCATGCCACTGTACTCCAGCCTGGGTGACAGAGTGAGAACCTGTCACACACACACACACACACACACACACACACACACACACACACACACACAAATATTACTACCACCAACAAATTAAACAATCAAAATACAAAATACGTGAGGCCAAAACTGATAGAAACATGTTGATAGGTTGATCTACTATTACAGTTGGAGACTTCAACACCACTGTATCAGAAATAGAGAAATTCAGTAGGCATAAATTCAACAAAAAGATAGATGAACACACCATAACCATAGACTACTCCATGGAACAATGCAGAATGAACATTCTTAAGCTCACCTGGAATATTCATAAGATAGAACACATTCTGGGCCTTAAAACACACTTTACAGATTTAAAATAATAGAAATCAAACTGATAGCAAACTCTGCTATCAGACTGCAATGGAATTAAATTGGAAATCAAAAACAGAAAGATAACTAGCAATCCCCAAAATAAGTGGAGAATAAATGCTTCTAAATAACAGTTAAAAGAAGAAATTTCAAGAAAATTCATTTCTCATGAACTAAGTGAAAATAAACGCATGCCTTATTAAAATATGTGAGATGTAGCAAAAGCTGTGCTTACAGGGAAATTTATATCTCTGAAGGCCTATTTTAGAAAAGAAGCAAAATCTAAAATTAGTTCTGTAAATTGATACCTTAGGAAACTAGAGTATGAAGAGCTAATTAAGCCAAAGTAAGCAGAAAAAAAGAAATAATAAAAGTTGGAGCAGAAATCATTGAAATTTATGAAAGCTGGTTCTTTGGTAAAATTGATTAGCCCCTTTCCAGGCTAATTTAAAAAGAGAGAGAGAGAGAGAGAGGACACAAATTACTAATACCATAAATAAAAGAGAAGTCAGACATCTCTACAAATTTCATGAACATTAAAAGTATAATAAAAGGGCATTATGAAAAACAGTATGCCCATACATTTGATGACCTAATAAAATGGATCAATTCCTTGAAAGACACAATCTACCAAAACTCACACAAGAAAAAAAAAAGATAATTGGAATAAGTGTATTTCTACTAAAGAAATTGAATCAATCATTAATAGCTTTCCAAAACAAAAAGCACCAGGCCCACATGAGTTCACAGGTGAATTCTACCTAACATTTAAATAGGAAATTATGTCAATTCACTTCAGTATTTTTTGGAATATAGATGCAGAGAGACTATTTTCTAATTCATCCTATGAGGTGAGCATTACCTTCATACCATCAATAGAGAAAGAAATGACAAAAGTAGGATAACTACAGACCAATATCACTCGTGAACATAGATGCAAAAATTCACAATAAAATATTGGCAAACCATATTTACCAATGTATAAAAAGAATTATGCACCATAATCAAGTGCAATTTGTCTCAGGAAGCAAAATTCGGTTCCACATTTGAAAATTAATTAATATAATCCATCAGATCAACAAGATAAAGAAGGAAAATCAATACATCAATAGGTGCAGAAAAAAGCACTTGAAAAAAATGTAACAATGACTCATAATAAAAACTCATTAATCTAGAATTAGAAAACTTCCTCAACTTGAGGAAAAGTATCTACACAAAAACGGTTAACATCATATTTAATACAGTAGTGAGAAATTTGAAGCTTTTCCATCAAGATAAAAAGAAAGCTAGTATGCCCTCTCTCACTACTGCTTTTCAGTATTGTACTAGAAGCCCTAGCTAATGCAATAAGACAAGAATATGATATAAAAGTGTACAGATTGAGAAGAAAGAAATAAAACTGTCTTTGATTGCAGAAGACAAATGGTGGTCAATGTCAAAAATTGGAAAGAAGTGACCAAAAATCTCCTGGAACTAATAAAATATCATACCAATGTTGAAGGGTACAAGGTTAATGTACAAAAGTCAATCACTTTCCAGTATACCAAAAATAAACAAGTAGCATTTAAATTAGAAACACAATGCCATTTTATCAACACTACACTATTTGATCAAAGGGTGTAAAGTTTTAGTTGTGGAGGATGAGGAAGTTCTAGAGGTCTAATGTATACCATGAGACTGTAGTTAATAATACTGTACTGTATAATTAAAATTTGCCAACAGATTAGATCTCAAGTGCTGTTAGCACACACACATAAAAGGTAATTGTGAAGAGATGAATATGCTTGTTAGCTTCACTAAGTAATCATGTCACTATGTGTGTATATATTCAAAACATCAAAATGTTCTCCCTAAATATATGCAATTTTTATTAAAAAATTAAGTAAATCAAAATCAGAAACATAAAGAACACAATACTATTTATATCAGTACAAAAAAGTGAAATATTTAAGTATAAAACTAATAAAATATGTACAAAATCTATACAAGGAAAACCACAAAACTCTGACGATACAAATCAAATAAACTAAATAAATGCAGAGATGTTCCTTGTTTATGTACAGGAAGAGTCAATATTGTCACAATATCAGTTTTGCTCAGATCTCTAGATTTCATGCAATCTTATTTAAAATCCCACCAAGATATTTTATAGATATTGGCAAACTGCTTCTAATATTTACATGATGAGGCAAAAGATCCAGAATAGACAGCATGATATTTAAAAAGAACAAAGTTGGCCGACTGATACTATGTTACTTCAAAACTCACTATGCTACAGTAATCAAGATAGTGTGCATTGGAGAAAGAATAGACAAATAGATTAACAGAACAGAATAGAGAGGTCAGATGTAGACCCACATAATTATAATAGACTGATCTTTGATGAAGGAGCAAAGGCAATACAATAGAGGAAAAGTAGTCTTTTTAATGAATGATGCTGGAACAGCAGGATATACATGGGCAAAAAAAAAAAAAAAAAAGTAAAGAAAAAAAAAGAAACTAGACACAGACCTTTCCCCATTCTCAAAAGTTAACTTAAAATGGATCAAAGACCTAAATATAAAATGCAAAATGACAAAACTCCTAGAAGATAACAAAGGAAAAAAAATCTAGATGATCTTGGTTATGGTGATGCCTTTTATATACAACACCAAAGGCATGATTCACAAAAGAAAAAAAATGAACTTCTTCATTAAAATTTAAAATTTCTGCTCTGTGGAAAACATTGTAAAGAGAATGAAAAAACTGCCACAGATTGGGAGAGAATACTTGAAAAATACATTTTTGATAAAGAGCTGTTATCCAAAATATACAATGAACACTTAAAACTCAATAATAAGAAAACAAACATGCTGACAAAAAAAAAATGGACCAAAAACCTGAACATACACCTCAACAAAGTAGATCTAAAGATGGCAAATAAACATATGAAGACATGCTTGGCATCATATGTCATATGGGAAATACACATAAAAATGACAATGAGACACCACTAGACATATATCAGAAGGATTAAAATCCAGAACACTGAAAACACCAAATGCAGATGGTAATATGGAGCAACAGGTACTCTCAATCATTTCAAGTCAGAATGCAAAATGGTACAGCCACTTAGGAAGACAATTTAGTGGTTTTTTATAAATCTAAATATACTCTGTTATTGTATGTTTCAGCTATTGTGCTCCTCAGTATTTACTCAAATGATTTGAAAACTTATTGTTCACACGAAAACTCACACACAAATGTTTCTTTATTCATAATTGCCAAGATTTGAAAGCCACTGAGATGTCTTTCAGTAGGTGAATGAATAAATAAACTGGTACATCTGGACAATAAATATTATGTAGCAATGAAAAGAAATGATCTATCAAGCTATGAATGACATGAAAAAACTTACATGCATATTACTAAGTGAAAGAAACCAATTTGAAGGGGCTATACACTGTATAATTACAACCATGTAAAATTCTAGTAGAGGCAAAAGTATGGGGAAAGTAAAAAGATAAAGATCAATGGTTGCCAGGGTTTGGAAAGGAGGGAGGGATGAAAAGGCAGAGCACACAGGATTTTTTAGGGCAGTGAAACTACTCTATGATACTGTAATGATGGATACATGTAATTATAAATTTATTTAAACCTATAACATGTACAACACCAACAATGAACTGTAGTTTAAACTTTTAACTCTGGGTGATAATGATGTGACAATGTAGGTTCAACTGTAGCAAATGTACCACCATGGTGGGAAATGTTGACCATTGGGGAGGCTATGCACGTGTGGGAACAGCAAGTATACAGCAGATCACTTTACCTTCTGCTCAATTTTTGTGTGAATCCAAAATTGCTCAGAATTAACTCTATTAAAAATTTAGAATGTTTTTGCTTGTATTTTAGATAGATTTATATAGATTTCAAAAAAAAATCTCATTTCCCTCCAGATTCTCCAAGAGAAAGGTCAACATAATTATCTCAATTTCCACTTTCAGACACTGGGTTGAAGCTGTCAAAATACTTAACTTTTTCTGTGGTTAGTCCATATATTGCTCTTGTGTGCTATCCCTTAAATTAATATAGGCTGTCAATACACTTGCATCAAGTAGTAAAGGGCTGTCAAAAAGACCCCTAATGTCAAATTTGTAAGGAAACTCTGGAGCATGGGTACAAAGAACCTGCGTTTTATTTATTGACTTTTTAAAACTTAGCGTCAATACGTTTGTGTGGTAACTGATGGTCTCAGGGCAGTGACTGTGGCTTCCTTATGGGATTGCTAGTCTTCCCTAGTTCATTAAATACTTTCTTCATTTCTATGGAATCTCTGTGCTATATTACTTAGAAAATGCCTGATGTTTTCTTGTATTACTACTCGGATTTCACCTGCTATTCTTTTTTTTTTTTTTTTTTTTTGAGAAGGAGTCTCGCTCTGTCGCCCAGGCTGGAGTGCAGTGGCGAGATCTTGGCTCACTGCAAGCTCCGCCTCCCGGGTTCACGCCATTTTCCAGCCTCAGCCTCCCGAGTAGCTGGGACTACAGGCGCCCGCCACCACACCCGGCTAATTTTTTGTATTTTTAGTAAAGACGGGGTTTCACCGGTTAGCCAGGATGGTCTTGATTTCCTGACCTCGTGATCCGCCCACCTTGGCCTCCCAAAGTGCTGGGATTACAGGAGTGAGCCACCGCGCCCGGCCTCACCTGCTATTCTAATCCATGTGTAACTTGTTTGTTCTTCGTGCATATCTACATTCAAGAGATACTGTTGGTTGGTTTTCTTTGAACTAGCAGGAATGGGAAAATTTAGAGTTAGCATTAAGCATTTGAATGTTACCCTTCTTTCAGAACATTTTAATTTTCTGAGATCAGTGTACATTATTTTTGTATAATTTTGTAGTACTTGGTGTATTTTATAAACACAATGGGAATTTAAGGAAAGATGTTATTTTTTAGCTCTTACAATAGTGTTTTCAGTGCACGGTAGCTCAGTGAAGACCAAAGAAAGGTATTACAATGATGTTCACAATATTTTCATTGACAGGTTAATACCTTTCAGTTTAGTATGCTTCAAAGATCACAAACCACATAGTGCAGTAGAGCCAAGATTGAAATCCATGTCTCCAAGTCCAGTGTTCTTTACATGGCGTTATCCAATGTCATACTTAGTTTATTAGAGCTTCTTTATTTCCTAGGACTGCCATAAGAAAGTAACACATACTAATGACTTAAAACAACAGAAATGTATTATCTGACAGTTCTAAAGGCTAGAAGGCTGAAATTAAGATATCAGCAGGTCCATACTTTCTCAGAAGCCTCTAGGGAAGATCCTCCTTTGTCTCTTTCTGATAGCTCCAGGCGTTCTTTGGCTGGTGGCAGCTTAAATCCAATCTCTCCCTCTGTCTTCATTTGGCATTCTTCCCTCATGTCTTTACATCATCTTCTTATAAGGAAACTAGTCTTATAGTATTAAGAGCCCATCCTACTCTAGTATGAAACTCATCATAACTAATTATAACTGCAAAAACTTTATTTCTAAATAAGGTGTGGGGATTAAGACTTTTTTGAAGACTTAATTCAACCTATACAGATTATAAAATATCACAACCTATAATTATATTGTGACATTGAGCAAATATGTATGAAAGGCAGTGTAAAATTAATGAACCAGAGAAGCATCTGTATATATTGTGGCAGAGAAATTGTCCCATGATAATCTTGGTTGCAGTATATCCGGGATATACCAGGTTGAATTCTTTATTGCCTACTGACAAGTGGTCCAAGGCAGGTAGATAATAGGATTTCTGAGACAGCTTTAGGTAGACTAGCATTACTCACAAGCCTAACTTTATTCTTGGGTTTTCTGATAAAATATTTTCCTACTATTAGCGTAAAAGCACCATATAACAAAATTAGCTGGGAGACAAGATTAAATAATCATTTTTTATTCTGTCTAGGAATGCACTTTATTTGTCCTCTTTTGTAATTGTTCAGAGGACAAGAAATTCTGCCTGACTCCAGTCATTTTTTTGGAGGTTTCTCCTCTAAGACTTGATATCAGTCATGTACCTACTTAAACATTGGGAAATACAATGGATCATGTGCTGTTTATATGATACACGGTTTATAAACTTCTACTTGCCATGAAAATGCTATCAGTACAGTATTTTCTATCTGTTTTGCCAAAGAATCCAATTGTATCCATATGGTTATTCCTTTTCACACAATACAATAACATCCCAACTATTCATTCAAGAAAAGGATGGGGAGTGGAATTTTAACCTGAGAATGGCGTTTTCACTTGAGGACAGGTGAACATATAAATTCTGACAGATATATTCAAAACTACTTGGAATGATTCATTCATTGATCAAACCAATATTTACTAAAATTTACAAAGTGCCAGAAACTATTCTGGATGCTTTTGATAGATCAATGAACATAACAGACAAAATATCTCGCCTTTTGGGACTTACAATCTAGCAAGGAAAGCATGAAATCTTATATTAATTTATAAATATATATTTACATATATATTTAGAGAATAAAATCAATTTAAGCTAAAAGGAAAATATTTTATGTTAATCATATGCCAAATTATGAAGAACATTCACAAATTGGGATCAGGAAATCTATTTTAATATTTGACAATTCTGAATTACTTGTATATTTTTAAAGTTCCCAATAAAATACTAAATAAATACTTCATAAATATTTCAATACTAAATAAGAATTACAACCAACCCCACAATTTACATATATCTATGGCCTATTCTGATATTTCTACATCTCTCTCTCTCCTCTCTCTCTCTCTATATATATAATATATAAATTTAAAATATACTTATATATAAAACTTTCATAGTTGCAATTATCATGGCTATAAGATCATGGTTTTCAATTATTTCCCTTAAATTCTTTCATAAATCCTTTCCTTTTTTCAGAGTTTCATAGTTGCTCAATCTATCACACAACTATAACAATGTGTTCATTTTTTATATTTAGGTTTTTAAAGAAACATTTCTGTTATTACAAAAAAAAACAGCGTTAAAATAACCTTTTACATGAAGTATTTCTGAAACATCTTTTTTGACAGATTTTTTGGAACAGAGTTGAAATAACTATGGTTCATTCAATGTATTGATAAATTACTCAAGAAATTTAGTTCAATATCTCCAACATTATACTTTGCATTTATCACAACTGTCAATCAATCAGCACACATTTCTATCTTTGTTGACAATTCTGATGGCCACTATCTTTTGTTTTCGCTCTGTCATCCAGGCTGAAGCACAAAGGCATGATCAAAGCTCATGGCAGCCTCAAGTTCCTGGGTTCAAATGATCCTCTCACCTCAGCCTTGCAAGTAGAGCACTATCTTCTCAGAGGATTTGATGCATGAACACTGTAGATGATTGAATTGAGCTTCACTGGATGATAGCATGTGTTTGCGTTTCCTCTTATAACTCATGATATTACAATTTTATCCTTCAAAAAAAAATCTTTGTTATGGTACTTTCTAGGGGAAAAGAATTCTTCCACAATTAGGCCCTCTTTAAAACATGGTTTTGCCCATTCTGAAAAATGTAAACAGAAGTCTTAACAATTGAGGAGTTAGGATTGATGGAATAGCCACAATGGACAAAATTTAAGCCTTGGAATTACTTGGAGATTTATGTTGCATTTTCCTGTTTCCCCCCCCCCCAGTGTGGCTTTAGTATTGCTAAATATCTTTCGTTAACTAATCATCAAGGGTAACCCCTATATGCATAATGTCAAGTGAAGCAGAGGGTTGAGAAGGACAGTCAGAAGAGAAGGCATCCAAGTCTTACACGCTGAAAAATAAAGCATGTTTCTTAAAATTCATAAAATAGCAATGCATCTTGCAACACAAAACTGACCATATTTATATAAATATTATATTTTTGTGTTTGATAGTTATGAAAAATGAGAGCATAGAGAGTATTACTTTCAAAAATCTGATATAAAGTTTAAATTCACCAAATGAAATCTAAAATTCATTTAGAAAATATAAACTTTTATTTGGAATGAGATTGTGTAATGTATTTGATTCACATTATAAGTAAAATCATATATCCTGCATTTGTGAGTAGAAGACACATAGAAAAAAGATGTTTGTTTTACTTTAAAACAATGAGTTTCTTAGAAAATGCAAAACATTTGTGAGTAGATATTGCTAAATGCTAACATGAGAAAAGATTGAGTCATTTTATTCACCCATATATTAGCTCGGAATCTAAAATATAGATAAACATTTTGTGAAGCCAGAAAAATATGTTTAAAATCATTACTTTTTGTAGCTCTTTTTCTTCCATATCAGTGCTATTGTTTATAGCTGAAGAACCTTGAGGCTTCCAGTTTGTATTTTTCTTCCCATGCCAGTGATTTGTGGTATTAGTGCAGGTCATTGATTCTGTACTGCTGAGCTATCCAGCTTATGGCAGACAAGGGAGCTGAGTGTGTCTTTAAAGTGCCCTTTACTTTCAAAATTCAAGTTGTAGAAATGACACCTCTGGTTTTATAACTGTGCAGCTTGCACTGTGTTGCATAAAATGTTCTCCCAAGTGGACAAGGTTAGTTGTTTTGGAGACTAATTCTCATTTTTTGTGTTCAAGTTGGGTTGAAAATAAGATCCTATCTTAGAATAGGATTCTATTCTTAGAATAGGATCTTATTGCATAAGAATCCCTCATAAAAATGGGATCTTATTGCATACGTTTTCAGTCTGGGTCCTGCAACTATATTAAGTAATAGTAGTAGGTAAGCCAAAACTTACTTTACATATTATCTGCTGAAGTAAATATGCCAGGCATTTAGCAGTGGGTTCTTCGTCATTTAAGGATTGTGATGCTAATAATGTTAATATCAGAATTAATCAATCTTGCTACAAAATAATTTATACTGCTATATAATCTACAATGATATTTTTAAGCAAAAGTTATATAATTTTAAAACTCTACTGACAAACTCTATATCTAGAAGAATTACTAAGTAAAAGATGAGATGATAAATCTTTTAATTCCATCAATATGGAGATTATTATCCTATATATACATATAGGACTAGCAAAGTTAGCTCTACACTACTGAATATATAAATTCATATAATCATAAGATTTTACAAATGTAGTTTTATTTTTCTGAAACATTCTTTTAATTTTTTTCCAAACTTTTCCTGACAAGTTCCTACCTATTTTTTTCAGGTCTGCTTTGTTGTTTTTGTTTTGTAATTTTGGAATAAGTTTATTCATCTACTGTGGATTTCCATCACACCACACATCTTCATTGCAGCTACATTAAAATACAAGTTTCTCCCCCATATAGTTACGTGAGAATAGAGATCATACCTTTCCTGCTCATCAAGATATTTTCAACATCTGATACTGTGGTTTGAATTGGATCTGAACACATGCTCTGGAGTTAAACTGACGAGGTGTAAATACCGGCTCAGCCACTTAGCAATTATGTGAGGTTGGCCAAATGACTTCACCAGTCTTTATGAAGATTAAATGATGTAATACTTATACAGTGCCTAGAATAGGATCTATCTGGCATATTATAAAACTATGGCAAATGGCAAGTATTAATATGACTATTATTATAATTCTATAAATATTCATTAAATTAATGTTGAATTTGTTTAGATGTAGTGTGCATTTTATATTCAGAGGATATGCCTTTATTGATATAAATAAAAATATTTTAATAAACAACTAGATAAACCAAAGTCATCTCTTTGGTAAATGTCTCATAACTGAAATTATTTGATAAATAACTAATTAGGGTGATAGCCTGAAAACTCTATTATCTTCAAAGATTAACAACTAAATTGTAGCATTCAAAGATTGACATATAGAATATAAGTAAAAATGTAAATATATATTATATTTAATTAAGATATTACTGTAGTTATAATAAAACTTCATAATTCACATTTGATATTTTTTCCAAATTAAAAATATTCTGGTGGAGAATTTTGGAGCCTTGATTGCTCATTTCTCTCTGTGTTGGAGAACACCTTACACTGAGGGAGAAAATGTACACCATACTCATAGATATTTATTTTATCTGCTTCTCTATAGAGGTCTTGGATTTGCATCTACTTCTTACTCGGTGGATTTTCAAATTACAGTTGACCCTTGAAAAACACAGGTTTGAACTGTGCATATTCACATATACAATGATTTTCTCCTGCCTCTGCACCTCCTGAGACAGAAAGACTACCCTGTCCTCGTCCTTCTCCTCAGCCTACTCAATGTGAAGACAAGAATGAAGACCTTTATGATGATGCATTTCTACTTAAAATGAATAACAAACATAGTGTGTCTTCCTTATAATTTTCTTAATAACATTTTCTCTATCTTTATTTTTAAAAATACAGTATATAATACATATAACATACAAAATATGTGTTAATTGAATGTTTATGTCTTCAGTGAGGCTTCCATTCAACAGTAATCTAAGAGTTCAGTTTTAGAGGAGTTAAAAGTTATACCAGGATTTTCAACTGTTCCCCTAATCCCTAAGTTGTTCAAGGGTCAGTCGAATTTTAATTGTTGTGGGACTTGTCACTCAGTGTAACCTGAAACTTTCTAATGCCTAATACTTATCAGAAAGTACAAGTGGAAGAACTAATAATTATTGAATATGCCAGAAAGATGAACAGTATATCAATTTTTGTAAATAATCTAATTTTAATATTGGATGATGCTAAGTTACTGGGAAGATTTATGCCAGGTTCAAATCACTTTTTCTGTACTTTTAGAATTATATAATCAGTATACATTGAAAAATGCATAGCACTTTAATGAAACACATTACTATGTCTACCATAGAATTGTTTTAGCAGACTTCATCATATCACATAGAGTCATCAGGATGGAGGGAAGAAATATGTCTCTCATCTCATTATCAAGATTACCAATGATACTTTTCAATAATTTATTTTTGCCTTATGTACACTTTGAATCTTGTAAATAATTCACCTATCTCTATTGGGTTAGCTGCTAGAAAGTTGAAAAGCCAATTCATAGTCCACATCGTAGCTGTTTCATAAGACTTCTTGAATCCATGCGTTTTGTTTACCTTCCTTATCTTACTTCATCATAATTTTTCTGCTCTTCTTTTTTTTTGTTGAGACGGAGTCTCACTCTGTCGCCCAGGCTGGAGTGCAGTGGCGAGATCTCAGCTCACTGCAGCCTCCACGTCCCGCTGTCAAGGGATTTCCCTGCTTCAGCCTCCCGAGTAGCTGGGACTACAGGCACCCACCACCACACCTGGCTAATTTTTGTACTTTTAGTAGAGACGGGGTTTCACCATGTTGGCCAGGATGGTCTCGATCTCCTGACCTCGTGATCTATCCGCCTCGGCCTCCCAAAGTGCTGAGATTACAGGCGTGAGCCACCACGCCTGGCCATTTTTCTACTCTTATTGTTCCTTTCACAGATGCTCTTACTTTCCAAGTATAAATATTTCTGTTTTGAGTGAAGTTGTTTTCACTATGTCAAATAAATCTGGAATAAAGTGAGTTAGAAACAAACACCAATTGATATTTTGGCTAAAAACAAAAATAAGTGGTCAATGATAAGTTTAGATCACTCCAGAAGATAGTGGACTAAATTCCTGAATGAAAACAAAGTTCTTGTTCAGTTTTATGAGGGTATTTGTTAAATACCCTGGAATATTATCACAAAGACTTATCATCACATGATAAGTTTGGTTTTGGAAAGTATTTGCTGATAAAACCCAAATTAATTCACCAAAATACAATCTCTTTATGCTTATCTAAGCTACTTTTTAATAATAAGTTTCTGATATTCAATTTTATTAAATAATGAAGAATTTGACATATCTGCTTCTCCTGGCTTCTACAATATAGGTCAGTCATTCTCCTTGATGTAGATCCACAGATGTGGCATAAGCTACTCATCACTTCCTATAAGACCTAATTAACTTGATCATATTTTTCCTAAAATAACCTGAGTCATTACTTGTCTAGCCTGTTACCTAGTTAAAATTATTTTAATCTCTTGGTATTTTAACTCTGTTTTATAATGACCTTTCAAAGAATGTATAGAACATAGCAAAAATAAAACAAAAAGTACTTTTTTATATTTTAAGTTCTCGGGTACATGTGCAGAACGTGCAGGTTTGTTACATAGGTATACATGTGCCATGGTGGTTTGCTGCACCCGTGAACCCTTCATCTACATTAGGTATTTCTCCTAATGCTATTCCTCCCCTAGTACCCCACCCCCCAACAGGCCCTGGTGTGTGATGTTCCCCTCACTGTGTCCTTGTGTTCTCAGTGTTCAACTCCCACTTATGAGTGAGAACATGCATTGTTTGGTTTGCTGTTCTTGTGTTAGTTTGCTGAGAATGATGGTCTCCAATTTTATCCACATCCTGCAAAGGATATTAACCCATTTTTTATGGCTGCATAGTATTTTATGGTGTATAGGTGCCACATTTTCTTTATCCAGTCTATCACTGATGGGCATTTGGGTTGGTTCCAAGTCTTTGCTGTTGTGAACAGTGTCACAATAAATGTACGTGTGCATGTGTCTTTATAGTAGAATGATTTATAATCATTCTACTATATACCCAGTAATGGGATTGCTGGGTCAAATGGTATTTCTAGTTCTAGATCCTTGAGGAATCGCCACACTGTCTTCCACAATGGTTGAACTAATTTACACTCCCAACAACAGTGTAAAAGCATTCCTATTTCTCCACATCCTCTCCAGCATCTGTTGTTTCCTGACTTTTTAGTGATCACCATTCTAACTGGTGTGAGACGGTGTTTCATTGTGGTTTTCATTTGCATTTCTCTAATGACCAGTGATGATGAGCTTTTTTTCATATGTTTGTTGGATGCATATATGTCTTCTGTTGAGAGGTGTCTGTTCATATCCTTCACCCACTTTTTGATGGGGCTGTTCGTTTTTTTCCTTTGTAAATCTGTTTAAGTTCTTTGTAGATTCTGGACATTAGCCCTTTGTCAGATGCATAGATTGCAAAAATTTTCTCCCATTCTGTAGGTTGCCTATTCACTCTGATGATAGTTTCTTTTGCAGTGCAGAAACTCTTTAGTTTAATCAGATCCCATTGATCTATTTTGGCTTTTGTTGCCATTGCTTTTGGTGTTTTAGTCATGAAGTCTTTGCCCATGCCAATGTCCTGAATGGTATTGCCTAGGTTTTCTTCTAGGGTTTTTATGGTTTTAGGCCTTATGTTTAAGTCTTTAATCCATCTCGTATTAATTTTATATAAGGTGTAAGGAAGAGATCCAGGTTCAACTTTCTACATATGGCTAGCCAGTTTTTCCAACACCATTTGTTAAATAGGGAATCCTTTCCCCATTTCTTGTTTTTGTCAGGTTTGTCAAAGATCAGATGGATGTAGATGTGTGACATTATTTCTGAGGCCTCTGTTCAGTTCCACTGGTCTATATATCTGTTTTGGTAGCAGTACCATGCTGTTTTGGTTACTATAGCCTTGTAGTATAGTTTGAAGTCAGATAACGTGATGCCCCCAGCTTTGTTCTTTCTGTTTAGGATTATCTTGGCTATGCGAGTTCTTTTTTGGTTCTGTATGAAATTTAAAGTATTTTTTTCCAATTCTATGAAGAAAGTCAGTGGTAGCTTGATTGGGATAGCATTAAATCTATAAATTACTTTGGGCAGTATGGCCATTTTGATTATATTCATTCTTCCTATCCATGAGTAAGAAATGTTTTTCCATTTGTTTGTGTCCTCTGTTATTTCCTTGAGCAGTGGTTTGTAGTTCTTCCTGAAGAGGTCCCCTTCACATCCCTTGTAAGTTGGATTCCTAGGTATTTTATTCTCTTTGAAGCAATTGTGAATGGGAGTTCACTCATGATTTGGCTCTCTGTTTGTCTGTTATTGGTGTATAAGAATGCTTGTGATTTTTGCACATTGATTTTGTATCCTGAGACTTTGCTGAAGTTGCTTATCAGCTTAAGGAGATTTTGGGCTGAGATGATGGGGTTTTCTAGATATACAATCATGTCATCTGCAAACAGGGACAATTTGACTTCCTCTTTTCCTACTTGAATACTCTTTATTTCTTTCTCTTGCGTGATTGCTGTGGCCAGAACTTCCAATACTATGTTGAATGGGAGTGGTGAGAGAGGGTATTCTTGTCTTGTTCCAGCTTTCAAAGGGAATGCTTCCAGTTTTTGCCCATCGAGTATGATATTGGCTGTGGGTTTGTCATAAATAGCTCTTATTATTTCGAGATACATTCCATCAGTGCCTAGAAGAAGTCTAATCTCTGAATATACCAATAACAAGTTCTGAAATTGAGGCAGCAATTAATATAGCTAACCACCCCAAAAAAGTCCAGGACCAGACAGATTCACAGATGAATTCTACCAGAGGTACAAAGAGGAGCTGGTACCATTCCTTCTGAAATGATTCCAAGCGATAGAAAAACAGAGACTCCTCCCTAACTCATTTTATGGGGCCAGCATCATCCTGACACCAAAACCTGGCAGAGTCACAACAAAAAAAAGAAAATTTCAGGCCAATATCCCTGATGAACCTCAATGCGAAAATCCTCAATAAAATACTAGCAAACTGAATCTTGTGGCACATCAAAAAGCTTATCCACCACGATCAACTAGGCTTCATCCCTGGGATGCAAAGCTAGTTCAACATATGCAAATCAATAAATGTGATCCATCACATAAACAGAACCAATGGCAAAAACCACATGATTATCTCAATAAATGCAGAAAAGGCCTTTGACAAAACTCAACAGCCCTTCATGCTAAAAACTCTCAAGAAAAAAGTACTTTTAAACAATATCACTGTTTGCACCAGAAGCAATGAGATCACTAAAGGGATACAAAATCCTTCTCCTACCTTCTATGAAGATTCTCTTGTTCTATCTTTCCTTTTTAAACTTCCTTAGCACTTCCTTTGTAGTACCTTCAGTGTTTAGCTTAACTGCTAAGTTTTGGGCATGATGAGGACAGTAGGTGTATTTCATTTCATCTTGTATTCTTCACACATCCTTACACAACGAATGAATGAATATATCAATGAGTGAGAAGATAATATGTCTTCCTTTTTAAAGGCAATGCTAATTAGTGACAATATCCTATTGTTACCAATAGGATATTATTTTAAAAGTTTTTAAAGTTTTCCAATTTGAAATTTCCTATCTATAGGTACACATATTAAGATCATTTGGAAATTTATAAACTCTTATTTCCTGCTTTGTGACACAGGGGGTAAAATTCCCTGAGTAATTTATTTTTCCTCCCATTTCACAGATTCCTATAACTTTTAATATGTAGTCATAATAAAAAATAAATGGTAGAAAATAGATAAGGTAATCTTAGCTCAAAATATTTTTATTTATCATAATGGTACTTACATTTATAAAACTTTTACATTATCACTATATTATCACCAACATAAAGACCTGTAATGTATAATGTTTATGTGTTCAAAAATATTTATTGAACACTGATTGTGTTTCACGCAGTGGAGAGACAAAAGTAAATACATGGTTTTCTGACCTCTTATAATGCATAATCTACTGGGGAAAACAGTAGAACTATTGTAAGTAAATAATCCTAATTTAATATATTAGAGAAGAATTATGTACAAATTGTCATGTAGGTATAAGTAAGTTGAGGATAAATTATTGAGTGCTACCAAGAGAGATAAAACATAATATTTAGAGAGTCAGGAAAACCTTCTGGACCCAATTGAAAGACAGAAATATCTACTGCAAATATAAATAAAGACCAGTTCAATTCACTCTTAAATATAGCCTACATTATTTTGTTTTCCAAAAAAAAAAGTTTTATTATTGTTTTTCTTAAACAGGGCAAAAAATGTCCAGAAAATTTCTCAGGAGGTACAAACAACTACTGGAGGAATAAACAACCTTAAAAAAACCGTTGCCGAATAGTCATTAGCTTAAGGCCCTCAGCAGTAGGTAATTTCCAGGCAAGGTCTTTTCTATATCTCTAGAATTGAGGATAACAATATATTTCTAATAAAATTTTCCATCCTCATGTTTATGGAGAAAACACATTTTCTTATAAAATTTTGTCAAATGTCTTTAATCAAACATGTCTTCAATAAAGCATCATGCCTGAACTGAGTTGAGGATGCCAGTCAGCACTAATGACACTCTAGCATTTAATCCGTTTCATAAATCTCCACCACGGAGCCCTGGAGGTTGCAATCTAATTATATACTGAAAGTCATGGCAAGATTCCCTATGTCAAACTTTGATCTGCTTCTGTTCAGCTCCTTACATTTCTGAGGTCAAACTTCTGAATAAGTAAGTGGTTTCAACTAAGTGGTTTGATAAGACCAAAATACTTTAATGTTAATTTTCTGCTATCAAGGGGAGTTAGATATATTCAGGCAAATGGTTGAGCTCAATTTTCACTTGGTTTCTGTAGAAGTCAGGCATTCTGTGGCAATACATACATACAGATAAGACTTCTCATCAATAGAACCAACTGGGAGCTGAAGGTTTATATGAACTTACTTTCATCTTTCAGCCTTACCTGATTCCCAACTATGGAATATTGGATGGAGACACTAAGTATCTGCAGAAAAATCTATTTTAGAATTGAACACCATATGGGGAAGAAGGAGAAGAAAAAAATTCTTCGAAGGGCGATGCAGCATTCTGTGGCATGGCTCACAGTGCTGTGAAAGAAGCACCATATGCCATACACCGACTGTTAACCATTTCATTAATTAACATATAACAAGAAAAAAGTCACCTGTGTCACCCAATAATATGGATATGAAATTTACACAGTTCTCTATTTGTTAACCAATTAATTCCAATTCATACATGAAAGTAGGACTGATTAATTTATACCAGACCTATGACTTTAACTTATCATACTTTTTATAGTGTATCTGATTTTTCTGACATTTTCAGAAATAAAAATATGAAAGCTCAAGTTTTCCCCAAAATGGCTCTCTCTTAACCAATGGTTAGAATTTGATGCATTCATTTCTTTTCAGTTGAGCTTTCTCAGGTTGGCGTATTTATTTTTTTCCCAGTGAACTGACTTTGGACCTAATGTCTGGCTGTAAACTATTGGAAATACTCATCAATTTGGCCATCTGCTCCAGCAGGCATTATACATACTTGCATCTGACAGACCTTGTTGAGTATGCTCTGTTTCTATTTCCACATATCAGAGATGCATACAATTGTATTCTCTTAGTTTTTCTTTATTGCTAATTTTCCTTGCGGGGCTCACTGTAAAATGCCATAGAAGTCTCATGGGACAATATATAAAAAGCATATTGTAATTAAATTTGTCAGACTTCTTTGGCATCTAGCTAATGGATAGTAGTAATCTCTTTTCTTAGGCTTTAAATTCATTTTTACTTTAGCTTCTTTAATAATGCATATAATTTTATAAGCAAGTAGCCTTTCAGATAAAATCAAGTCAAATCTAAAATGTCTCTTCTATTATATGCCATGGATATTTGGCCCATTCTTATTATTTCATTGTATGCCACATGCTGGGGCTTTAAATTTTGTTAAAATTGAGATTTATGGTGGACACTCATGCTTTCCTTTACCTTTTTCCAGTAAAGATGTTTCCTGGCATGCAGCAGAATTTTAGAGCAAGAGAATAATTTCTGTGTTCTGTAATGGAAAGACTTGAACTCATGCTGGTTAATCACTTTTATTTTGTCTCCAGTTGCTGTCTTTATCACAGATGATCTTAAATCATTTCTTTAGACCTCTTCAAGGTTGTTCATGTGGCCTCCTGTCTGAAATCTTTCTTTCTGTTTACAAAGTTGAGATGCTACTTTTTTCTGCAAAAGTTAAAATTATGGTTTTATTGACTGTGAGTCGAGGAAGTTTATATTTTCCTCTTTTTTTCCTGACAACAATTGATCAGAAAAGCACAAAATGATGTTCTACCTTTTCTTGTCTTGATTGTCCAAATGGGCAATTTCTATAATCTTGGACTTTTGACTCTCTGTACTGTTAATTGTTTCAAAATGACTGTTGGGTAGCAGTTGCAACATAGGTCAATGCAGAACTATTTCTTAACCTTAATTTAGCAATGTTGTGTTGAGTTTGGCAGTGGAATCAAAAGACATCCCTGGCCTCCCTGAGACAGTATGGTTTACAACTAGTTTGCTCTAGCAAAGGGAGATAACATTTCAAGGAACTTGTAATAGAGCAAAGTTAAATGTGTGGAATTAGAAATGAGTATAGCATCACTACACTGTATAATGTTAAGCTGTATTACTGAAAAGAAACCAGCAGTCCAAAATTGCTTATCATTTTTCACATTTCTAAATTCTTTGTGCAACTCATTTACTGTGGCTTTTGCTATTTATGCTCATTCAGTTTTTAAGTGTCTGGAACTTGGAATGGGGCTGATGAGTCACATTAAACGTTCTCATACTATGGGATATCAAAGATGTACCAGCACACTTAATTGCACTCATTTAACCATTAAGCCTCATTTCCAAGGGTGCTGCCAGTTGTCAGGTGCACTATATTACAGTCCCACATGGCATGTGACATCTTTGCTACTTGCTGCATCTGGTTAGAGGCCCCTAGTAAATGCTAGTATCTACACTAGTGAAAGAGTCCAGGTGTAGGACAATGACGCTTGAGTTAATGATGGTGAAGCATTAGAAAAATAGCCCTAGAGAATGCTTCACATCTGATGAGACAGGACAACAGTTTTTCATATTCAAATGAATACAATCATATTCTGTAGTGCATTAATCGGGTAGGTTTTTTATTTATTTTCAGAAATGCAAGTTTAGTCATTTTTCAAAGATTATTTTAAAGTAATTGCTAAACAAAAAGAATTCTGTTCATTTCACAAATTTTTCAATGTAAGTATTTCTGATCAGATTTGGGGAGAGCCAGATTAATAAATTAGTGGACTTAAAAATCACTGGAGTTTTACTAGAATGGAGAGATTTCTCAATTCATACTCCCCATTTCTCACCAATGAGAAGATGCTTAAATATAACAAATGATCTATAAAAACTCACAGAAGTGACTTTTCACCATTTCTCAAATTACAATTGAATTATAGTTTTAAAAAATATAGCAAATTAAAAAATGTATGTTAGAGTATTCAAAGATGTGACTATTTATTTACATCATTTTATCCCAATGAATCTGTCATCTAAATACAGTCTATCTAAATTATTAAAGTATTTAATGAAAAGAAATGCATATGTATGGCAGACATTAAAAGACCATACAACTTCTAGTCCATGTTTCTTATTACATTTTCATGTGATAAAGTAGATAATGAGAAGAAACAAAGAACTTTATGTTGTATTGAGGGAAGACAAAGTAAATAAAAGGTTGTTGGCAGACAGCTGTTTTCCATCTTCATCAAGGAGCAAACAAGAAAAGGCTTAAGTTGCAATGAGAGGAATTAAAGCTAAATATAACACAACTGCAAGCATTGTAACATGCAAGAACCAGCAATTGCAAGAAATATTGGAATTTTTTTCCCTGAAAAAATTTATCTTCTCCTACACCATCCCTTTATTGCTGTATTGTTAAATATCGATAGACTCTATCTATATACTGGTATAACTTTTAACCAACTTTATGATGAAGTTGTTGGACACTGAATAATTTATTAACGTTCTAGGGAAGGATATGATGCCCTATAGAGAGATCTCTCTGGATTGCTGTGCCACCTTGTATCATGCATCAAGAAATGTGAGGTTTAGTGAAATTGTTTCCTACCCATAAAACGAAAATGATACTTTCAAGAAGCCTTAGAATCTGTACACAAAATTTATTGTCCTTTTTAATAATTATTAAAATTAATGTTTTAATTATGTAATTTTAAAGTGTTAGAATAATTAAAATTAAAATACTGTAATGATTTAAATAACCATTGCACTAGCATGCCAAAAATTACAGGTAGGTTGGGTTCAGGATTTATGTTTTGTCTATGTGTTTTTCAGTACGAAGATAGGTTTCTCAAAATATTACTCTAAGTTGTTATAAAGTTGATATGGTTTGGCTGTGTCCCCACCCACATCTTATCTTGAATTGAAGTTCCCATAATCCCCACATGTCATGGGAGGGACCTAGTGGGAGTGACTGAATCATGGGGGTGGTTACCCCCATGCTGTCCTCATGATAGTGAGTGAGTTCCCATGAGATCTGATGGTTTTATAAGAGGCAATTCCCCGTTTGGTCAGCACTTTTCTCTCCTGACACCTTATGAAGAAGGATGTGTTTGGTGCCCCTCTGCCACGATTGTAACTTTCCTGAGGCCTTCCTAGCCATGTGGAACTGTGAGTCACTTAAACCTCTTTCCTTCATAAATTACCTTGTTTTAGGTATTTCTTCATAGCAGCATGAGAACGTACTAATACAGTAAATTGGTACCACAGAGAGTGGGATGCTGCTATAAAGATACCCAAAAATGTGGAAGTGACTTTGGAACTGGATAACAGACAGAGGTTGGAATAGTTTGGAGGGCTCAGGAGAAGACAGGAAAATGTGGAAAAATTTGGAACTTCCTAGAGACTTGGAGGGCTCAGAAGACAGGAAGATATGGAAAGGTTTGGAACTTCCTAGAGCCTTGATAAATGGCTTTGAACAAAATGAAGATAGTGATATGGAAAAGAAAGTCCTGGCTGAGGTGGTCTTAGATGGAGATGAGGAACTTTTTGGGAACTGGAATAAAGGTCACTTTTGCTATGCAAGAAACTGATGTATTTTGGCCCTGCTCTAGAGATCTGTGGAAGTTTGAACTTGAGAGAAATGATTTAGGGTATTTGGCAGAAGAAATTTCTAAGCAGCAAAGCATTCAAGAGGAAGCAAAGCATACAAGTTTGAAAAATTTGCAGCCTGACAATGAAATAGAAAAGAAAAACCCAGTTTCTCAGAGAAATTCAAGCCTGCTGCAGATACTTGCATAAGTAACAAAGAGCAAATGTTCATCACCAAGACAATGGGGAAAATGTCTCCAGAGCATGTTGGAGACGTTCATGGCAGCCCCTCCCATCATAGGCCTGGAGACCTGGAAGGGAAACATGGTTTCATGGATGGGCCCAGGTTCCCCCTGCTTTGTGCATCCTTGAGACATGATACCCTGTGCCCCAGCTGCTTCAGCTCCAGCCATGACTGAAAGGGACACACATACAGCTCAGGCCACTGTTTCAGATGGGGTAAGCCCCAAGGCTTGGCAGCTTCCATGTTGTGTTGGGCATATAGGTGCATAGAAGTCAAGAATTGAAGTTTGGGGACCTCCTCCTAGATTTCAGATGGTGTACGGAAAACTCCTAGATGTCCAGGCAGAAGTCTGCTGCAGGGGTGGAGCCCTCATGGAGAAACTCTGCTAGGACAGTGAAGAAGGGAAACATGGGGTTGGAGACCCCACACAGAGTTCCCACTGTGGCACTGCCTAGGGGAGCTGTGAGAAGAGGACCACCATCCTCCAGACCCAAGAATGATAGATCCACTGACAGCTTGCAATATATGCCTGGAAAAGCCACAGACACTCAATGCCAGCCTGTGAAGGCAGCCAGAAGGGGGGCTGTACCCTGCAAAGCCACAGAGGAGGTGCTGCCCAAGGCTGTGGGAGCCCACCTCTTGCATCAGCATGACCTGGATGTGAGACATGGAGTCAAAGGAGAACATTTTGGAACTTTAATGTTTAATGACTGCCCTATTGGATTTCAGACTTGCATGGGGCCCATGGCACCTTTGTTTTGGCCAATTTCTCCTATTTGGAATGCGTGTATTTCCCCAATGCCTGTGTCCTCATTGTATCTAAGAAGTAGCTAACTTGATTTTGATTTTACAGGCTGAAGGGACTAGGCACAAGGGACTTACCTTGCCTCACATGAGACTTTGGACTTTGGCTTTTTGGTTAATGCTGGAATGAGCTAAGACATAGGGAGACGTTGGAAAGGCATGATTGTGTTTTGAAATGTGAGGACGTGAGATTTGGTAGGGGCCATGGGTGGAATGATATGGTTTGGCTCTGTGTCCCTATCCAAATCTCATCTTGAATTGTATTTACCATTATCCCCATGTACCATTAGAGGTACCTGGTGGGAGCTGAGTGAGTCATGACCCATGCTGTTCTTGTGATAGTAAGCAAGTTCTTATGAAATCTGATGGTTTTATAAGGGACTTTTCATCCTTTTCTTGGCACTTCTCTCTCCTGCAGCCATGTGAAGAAGAACATGTTGCTTCCCTTTCTGCCATGATTGTAAGTTTCTGGAGGCCTTCCCAGCCATGTGCAACTGTGAGTCAATTAAACCTCTTCCCTTTATAAATTACCCAGGGTCAGGTATTTCTTTGTAGCAGCATGAGAATGTGCTAATACAAATGTTTATGCCTTTTTTGAAGTTTTAATGTTCTTAGTTGCATTAAAAAGTAATCCATAATTCACAATGACTTGTTCTCTCTTCTTTATTCTACTCTTCTTGCTAATTTCCCTTATTTCAAATTCAACAAATACCAATAATATATTTTGTCTGAGTTATTAACTCTACTAGGTTTTGATAGTATAGGGGATATAAAAGTAAATTATAACCTGCAAAAGTTTATGATCAAGTGGAGGAAACAGGAAAATAAAAATTGGAATGCAATAAGATAAATGGCATGAAATTCAGAAATATAAAATGTCCTAGATTATGCAAAATAAGTAAGTAGCACAGACTAGCCATGTCTTTGAAGTTTCTAGAGAACATCATTCTCTGACTTGAACTTCTAACTAGAAACTATATTGTGAGCATGGATTTGAGAAACAAGAAAGCATTCTTTTTTTGACTAGTTTAGAAGCTGCCCTGGTTCATTTTCCCTAGCTCCAAGTGCCAGCAGAACAGTGGCTACGAAAGAATTGAAGACTTAGAAGTGAGATTCATAGGCTTCTTAGGAAAAACTCATTATGAGAACTCCGACTTTTTGCTCTATAAAACTCCAGTAGCACTCATTATTATTGTGGCACAAATATGGAATTATTTTCTTTTAAACTTTTTTTATTATACAAGCAATGTACATTCACTATAAAAATAACATTTTAGCTATCAGATAAGTCAAAGAAGGAAATAAAAGCCCAAATTTTTACCATCCTGTAGCACACCTTAATTTAAATACAAGAATCATTTCATTTGTTTCCCTGAGTCCCTGTAGATTTGTCTTGATGATTTTGACCAGAGTTTCATTTGTCCTTGGGCCACTGCTAGACAGAAAGTTTTTCATAGACTCTCTCTATCGTGTTGTACCTGAGGAAAGCACATAATCCTCATGAGGCTTTCTAAGAGATTTTGCTGCTAGCAACAGTGGGCAAGAGCAATATTAAATGCAAAGGGAGAGTTTAAAAGTGGCAAAATATCTAGTTTTCCAAAAGTGGTTTCTGCTATTTTAACTAGCTGTATGAATTTGAGTATACTATTCATTCAAAAAATTTTTAAAGGATTCTACCAGATAACAGAAAAGTGTTTCCAAACTCATAATTCTACTCATTGGAAAATTAATAAATTAGTTAACAAATGTTGTTTATTTAAAAAAACAAAACCTGTATTGATTTCTTACCTGGCACCTCTGAGGAGCTTTTATTGCCAAGATAATAGTGCCCTTTCTCTTAATCTTCTCCAGGATGTACAAAACAGGCGATATTTTTCATTTCATTTGTTGAAAAGTTTATGTGATTTCTATAGCTAGCTGAATGAATACCTGTTTTGGCCTTTTGTCTGTCTATGTATTCCAACTCAAGGATTTTTTTTTTTTCTGTAGAAAGAGAAAACCCCGTTCTTTTGTTACTCATGAATGAACATTTTTATTTCTGAAAGCCATTAAATACGCTTTAAGTTTCAAGAAAGGGGCTCTTTCCTAGTCCCTGACACCTTTCTTCTTTCACTTATAGCCTCTTAGGGGAGAAAAAAAGCGAAGTGAGACAACATCCTGCAAAAGCACTAATGCTATGTCATTAACTACGAAAATGACCAAAGTCAGTGAAAGAAAAAGACTGGGAAATAATGCCCAACTTCTAGTATCAGGAACAAAAAGGAACATGTCCACAGTCACAGTAAATCATTTGTAAATAAAATAGGGCATGCGAACGGTGTGAATTGCCTATTATTTGCAACCGTATGCCATTTAGAAGTCCCTTATTCAAGAACTGTGCAATAAAAATAACAAATTGATCACAAAGAAAAGATGATATTTCATAGGTTTCATAAACTTTTTGTTCTATTTTGAAATGCTAGAAGGATAAAACAATTTATAGATAAGGAATCTGTGCCCTACTTTCAGAGACTTTCTCCCGTTTTTGAGGAATGTGCTTGTCTTACAGATAGATGATGTAGGTCTTCTGCCTCTCACTGGCAGAAGCTTATATTCTATTAGTAAAATCAATAACTTCTAGAAATGGAGACCACCAAAATATTTCTTGACTAAAATATTTTTACTACTGGCTTGCCTAAAATATCAACCTAAACACTATGTTGTCATAATTATTTTGTTATAAGTAAAAGGTCAACATAATTTATTAAAATGATCAAGTCTTAGTTTTACCATTTACTTCTTCTGAGTTTGTGGAAAAGTTACTTGGAGGGTTGTTTTCTTTATTGTAAAGTAGAAATAAAAATTACTTATCTTAGATTATTTAAAATATTACATTTAATACAAGTAAAATCCTCATTACAGCATCTAGAGTCTGTCAATTAGTATTGTACATAATTACTTATCTATTTTCCTGTATGTCACATTGTTTCCATGTCAAAATGCAAAAGTTAATTGCATGCTATTTGATCTATTTATTTCTTATCATAAATTTTTCTGTAAAATTACTTATCTAAAGATCTTTACTCTTGAAGTCTTGAAAGTATAGGATGCATACATGTTAACTCTTGAGAATGATGCTAGAAATATTGAGGAAAAGCATCTGCCATGATATACTGATTGGGTTATATTCACAAGCAGAGAAACATTGAGGTGCTGATTCCAGGATATAGTGTTGAGTGACTACAATAGTGATGAAAACACCTTCTATGGGAAAAAAGAACTAATGCAATAACTTTCATCCTTGTGAACAAGAAATGAATCTGTTTCTATAGCACTGATGGAAGAAGAAAAAGTGACTGGGACTACCCTGAAAATTGCAATAAACAAATTACTGGTTATGATATGGTAAGAATTCAATGAAATGAATCTTATGTATCTCGAAGTTAAATCATGAGTGTTTTAACCGAATGAACTTTGCCAAGCTTGTTTGTGAATGCACATTTATAGAAAGGCACATGTGCTTCTGTCTGTTCTTAATATGTTTTATTTAAGATCACAAATGAGAATATCTTAGCATTCTATCGAGATTTATTTTATTCATCATCTCCATACAAACACTGAAAAGAATATCTTAGATAGATTAAATAGGTAATATATATAGATAGAAAGATAGATAGATCACATAAATATGTATTCTCTACTTTCCACAAAGGAAAATAATAGTGATAATTATCACTAAGGCATCAAAAGTCACATTGGACAGGGATACCAAAGGATGTTGGGTACTGATACCTAGGATTTTATTAACAAGGAGCTACCGAGTTCCTTTAGAGTGCAAAAAGACAGGCTGGGCATTTTCAAGATATTAAAATATTTTAAACAAAACATCTAGACTCGAAAGGAAACAAGATATTGTTAACATAATGAAGATAATATCTGTAAAGCCTCCCAGTGTATTTTTTTGGTTTGCTTACTTTGGTTGTTTTGTTTCTTTCCCTTTTTCTGTACCATCCAAACGTTAAAACTTGACCATGGTTTTGCAGCAAGACATCAAGCTTTTCAAAGGATGACACTGTCTGCAAAACTAAAGCCCATATATAGAGAGGGAAAAGGGTATAAGTATAATGGTTGAGTAGGAATCTTTCCAGACAGACACGGAAAGCAAAAACACTTTATATTAGACCACTTTTACTCTGCTGATAAAGATATACCACTGACTGGGCAATTTACAAAAAAGAGGTTTAATGGACTTACAGTTCCACATGGTGAGGAGGCCTTATGATCATGGCAGAAGACAAGGATGAGCAAGTCATATGTTACATGGATGACAGCAGGCAGAGAAAGATATTGTGCAGGGAATCTCCCCTTTTCAAAACCACAAGATCTCATGAGACTTACTCACTATCATGAGAACAGCACGGGAAATCCCTGCCCCCATGATTCAATTACCACCCAACAGGTCACTCCCACAACAGGTGGGAATTCAAGATGAGATTTGGATGAGGACACAGCCAAACCGTATCATTCCACCCCAGGCCCCTCCCAAATCTCATATCATCACATTTCAAAACCAATCATGCCTTCTCAACAGTTCCCCAAAGTCTTAACACATTTCAGCATTAACTCAACAGTCCACAGTCCAAACCCTGAAGTCTCACCCGAGACAAGGCAAGTCCCTTCCACCTATGAGCCTGTAAAATCAATAACAAGTTAGTTACTTCCTAGATACAATGAGGGTACAGGCATTGGGTAAATACAGCCATTCCAAATGGGAGAAATTGGCCAAAACAAAGGGGTTACAGCCCCCATGGAAGTCCCGAAATCCAGCAGGGGAGTCAAATCTTGAAACTTCAAAATGATTTCCTTTGGCTCCATGTCTCACATCCAGGTCATGCTGATGCAAGAGGTGGGTTCCCATGGTCTTGGGCAGGTCTGCCTCTGTGGCTTTGCAGGGTACCACCTCCCTCCCAGCTGCTTTCATGGGCTCTCTGGGAGCTCTGACCCCACATTTCTCTTCAACATTGCCCTAGCAGATGTTTTCCATGAAAGCCCAACCGCTGTAGCAACCTTCTGCCTGGGCATCCAGGAATTTCCATACATCCTCTGAAATCTAGGTGGAGGTTCCCAAACCTCAATTCTTTTTTCTTTATTATTATTATTATTATTATTATTATAATACTTTAAGTTTTAGGGTACATGTGCACAATGTGCAGGTTTGTTACATATGTATACATGTGCCATGTTGGTGTGCTGCACCCATTAACTCGTCATTTAGCATTAGGTATATCTCCTAATGCTATCCCACCCCCTTCCCCCCACCCCACAACAGTCCCCAGTGTGTGATGTTCTCCTTCCTGTGTCCATGTGTTCTCATTGTTCAATTCCCACCTATGAGTGAGAACATGTGGTGTTTGGTTTTTTTGTCCTTGTGATAGTTTGCTGAGAATGATGGTTTCCAGTCTCATCCATGTCCCTACAAAGGACATGAACTCATCGTTTTTTATGGCTGCATAGTATTCCATGGTGTATATGTGCCACATTTTCTTAATTCAGTCTATCATTGTTGGACATTTAGGTTGGTTCCAAGTCTTTGCTATTGTGAATAGTGCCACTATAGACATACATGTGCATGTGTCTTTATAGCAGCATGATTTATAATCCTTTGGGTATATACCCAGTAATGGGATGGCTGGGTCAAATAGTATTTCTACTTCTAGATCCCTGAGGAATCGCCACACTGACTTCCACAATGGTTGAACTAGTTTACAGTCCCACCAACAGTGTAAAGGTGTTCCTATTTCTCCACATCCTCTCTGGCACCTGTTGTTTCCTGACTTTTTAATGATTGCCATTCTAACTGGTGTGAGATGGTATCTCACTGTGGTTTTGATTTGCATTTCTCTGATGGCCAGTGATGATGAGCATTTTTTCATGTGTCGTTTGGCTGCATAAATGTCTTCTTTTGAGAAGTGTCCGTTCATATCCTTCGCCCACTTTTTGATGGGGTTGTTTGTTTGTTTGTTTTTTTCTTGTAAATTTGTTTGAGTTCATTGTAGATTCTGGATATTAGCCCTTTGTCAGATAAGTAGGTTGCAAAACTTTTCTCCCATTCTGTAGGTTGCCTGTTCACTCTGATGAGAGTTTATTTTGCTGTGCAGAAGCTGTTTAGTCTAATTAGATCCCATTTGTCAATTTTGGCTTTTGTTGCCATTGCTTTTGGTGTTTTAGATATGAAGTCCTTGCCCATGCCTATGTCCTGAATGGTATTGCCTAGGTTTTCTTCTAGGGTTTTTATGGTTTTAGGTCTAACATGTAAGTCTTTAATCCATCTTCAATTAATTTTTGTGTAAGGTGTAAGGAAGGGATCCAGTTTCAGCTTTCTACATATGGCTAGCCAGTTTTCCCAGCACCTTTTATTAACTAGGGAATCCTTTCCCCATTTCTTGTTTTTGTCAGGTTTGTCAAAGATCAGGTACTTGTAGATGTGTTCCGTTATTTCTGAGGCCTCTGTTCTGTTCCATTGGTCTATATCTCTGTTTTGGTACCAGTACCATGCTGTTTTGGTTACTGTAGCCTTGTAGTATAGTTCGAATTCAGGTAGTGTGATGCCTCCAGCTTTGTTCTTTTGGCTTAGAGAAGCAAGAGCAAACACATTCAAAAGCTAGCAGAAGGCAAGAAATAACTAAGATCAGAGAAGAACTGAAGGAAATAAGAGACACAAAAAACCCTTCAAAAAATCAATGAATCCAGGAGCTGGTTCTTTGAAAAGATCAACAAAATTCATAGACCGCTAGCAAGACTAATAAAGAAGAAAAGAGAGAAGAATCAAATATACGCAATAAAAAATGACAAAGGGGACATTACCACCAATCCCACAGAAATACAAACTACCATCAGAGAATACTATAAACACCTCTACACAAATAAACTAGAAAATCTAGAATAAATGGATAAATTCCTCGACACATACACCCTCCCAAGACTAAACCAGGAAGAAGTTGAATCTCTGAATAGACCAATAACAGGATCTGAAATTGAGGCAATAATTAATAGCTTACCAACCAAAAAAAGTCCAGGACCAGATGGATTCATAGCTGAATTCTACCAGAGGTACAAAGAGGAGCTGGTACCATTCCTTCTGAAACTATTCCAATCAATAGGAAAAGAGGGAATCCTCCCTAACTCATTTTATGAAGCCAGCATCATCCTGATACCAAAGCCGGGCAGAGACACAACCAAAAAAGAGAATTTTAGACCAATATCCTTGATGAACATTGATGCAAAAATCTTCAATAAAATACTGGCAAACCGAATCCAGCAGCACATCAAACAGCTTATCCACCATGATGAAGTGGGCTTCATCCCTGGGATGGAAGTCTGGTTCAACATATGCAAATCAATAAATGTATCCAGCATATAAACAGAACCAAAGACAAAAACTACATGATTATCTCAATACATGCAGAAAAGGCCTTTGACAAAATTCAACAACCCTTCATGCTAAAAACTCTCAATAAATTAGGTATTGATGGGGCATATCTGAAAATAGTAAGAGCTATCTATGACAAACCCACAGCCAATATCATGCTGAATGTACAAAAACTGGAAGCATTCCCTTTGAAAACTGGCACAAGATAGGGATGCCCTCTCTCACCACTGCTATTCAACATAGTGTTGGAAGTTCTGGCCCGGGCAATCAGGCAGGAGAAGGAAATAAAAGGTATTCAATTAGGAAAAGAGGAAGTCAAATTGTCCCTGTTTGCAGATGACATGATTGTATATCTAGAAAACCCCATCATCTCAGCCCAAAATCTCCTTAAGCTGATAAGCAACTTCAGCAAAGTCTCAGGATACAAAATCAATGTGCAAAAATCACAAGCATTCCTATACACCAATAACAGACAAACAGAGAGCCAAATCATGAGTGAACTCCCATTCACAATTGCTTCAAAGAGAATAAAATTCCTAGGAATCCAACTTACAAGGGATGTGAAGGGGACCTCTTCAAGGAGAACTACAAACCACTGCTCAATGAAATAAAAGAGGACACAAACAAATGGAAGAACATTCCATGCTCATGGGTAGGAAGAATCAATATCATGAAAATGGCCATACTGCCCAAGGTAATTTATAGATTCAATGCCATCCCCATCAAGCTACCAATGACTTTCTTCACAGAATTGGAAAAAAACTAAAGTTCACATGGAACCGAAAACGAGCCCGCATTGCCAAGTCAGTCCTAAGCCAAAAGAACAAACCTCAATTCTTGATTTCTGTGTACCTGTAGGCTCAACACCACATGGAAGCTACCAAGGCTTGGAGTTTCCACCCTCTGAAGCAACAGCTCGAGCTGTACCTTGGCCCTTTTTAGTCATGGCTGGAGTGACTAGGATGCAGGACACTAAGTCCCTAGACTGCACACAGCAGAGGGACCCCAGGATCAGACCAGGGAACCATTTTTCCTGCTAAGCCTCTGGATGTATGATGGAAGGGGCTGAAGCAAAGGCCTCTGACATACCCTGGAAACATTTTCCCCATTGTTGTGGTGATTAACATTCAGCTCGTCATTACTTACACAAATTTCTGGAGCCAGCTTGAATTTCTCCTAAGAAAATGGGATTTTCTTTTCTATTACAAGGTTAGTCTGCAAATTTTCCAAACTTTTAGGCTCAATTTCCCTTGTAAAACTAAATGCCTTTAACAGCACCCGAGTCAGATTTTGAATACATTTTGCTGATTAGAAATTTCTTCCACCAGATATTCTAAATCATCTCTATGAAGTTCAAAGTTCCACAGATCTCTAGGGCGGGGGCAAAATGCTGCTAGTCTCTTTGCTAAAACATAACAACAGTCAACTTTGTTCCATTTCCCAACAAGTTCCTAATCTCCATCTGAGACCACCTCAGCCTGGATTTCATTGTCCATGCCATTATCAAAGTCATTCAACAAGTCTCTAGGGACTTCCAAACTTTCCCACATTTTCCTGTTGTCTTCTGAGCTCTCCAAACTATTCCAACCTCTGCCTGTTACCCAGTTCCATTGTTGCTTCCACATTTTTGAGTATCTTTTCAGCTCCTCTACTGGTACCAATTTACTGAATTAGTCCATTTTCATGCTGCGATAAAGACATACTTGAGACTGGGAAATTTACAAAAGAAAGAGATTTAATGAACTTACAGTTCCGTGTCATTGGGGAGGCCTCACAATCATGGCAGAAGGCAAGGAGGATCAGGTCACATTTTACATAGATCACAGCAGGCAAAGAGAGAGCTTGTGCAGGGAAACCCCTTTTTAAAACCACCAGATCTCATGAAACTTATTCACTATAATGAGAACAGCACCGGAAAGACCTGCCCCCATGATTCAATTACCTCTCATAGGGTCCTTCCCACAACATGTGGGAATTCAAGATGAGATTTGGGTGGGGACACAGACAAATCCTATCATACTTTAAATGATGGAAAAAAAGAGCCTGATGCAAGATCGCAAGCTCTTTATTACTCATTGATCTTGGGGCTTAACCTAAGAATGAAGAAAAAGATGCAATAAACTAAGTTAAGTCTCTCCAAAATTTATGTGTTGACGTCTTAACTCCCAGTGTGAAGGTATTTGAATACAGGGCACTTGTGAGATAATTAGAGTTACATTAGGTAATAAGGGTAGGGCCCTTGTGATAGAATTAGTGGCCTTATAAGAAAAGGAAGATAGTTCTCTTTCTTCTCTTTCTCATCCTCTGTCTTTCTCATTCACCCACTAGACTTTGCCAAGTGTACACAGTGAAGAAAGCCCATGTAAGGACATAGTGAGAAAACAGCTACCCACATACAAGCCAGGAATAGAGTTCTCACCAGGAACTAAATTGGCCAGCACCTTGATCTTGTATTTCCAGCCTCCAAAACTTTGAGAAAAAAAGTTCTGTTGTTTAAGCTACCTAGTCTATGATACTTTGTTATGGTATCTTGAAGTAACTAAAACAAAAGGGTAATAATGGAAATGGTCAGATAGGTTTGGTGGAATCCTAGCATGTGGTGTTTTATTAGTTTTTGATTCTCAGGAAATGGCTTGAGAAAACTAAAAGTTTCCTAGAGAAGCCTTAAGGTTATGACATAGCCAGGTTAACAGTACCATATTATGCATGTGGCATAGTAGCTGATGAAGGAGTCTCTGTAGATAGGCCTAAGATAGCACCCATACATCTCCACATCATTTTTAGAATCCAGAAGTTTTCACCTCCCTATTGGAGGATGCATAAAGGTAAAAGGAGTGGTGGACATGATTACTCCTGGCTTTGAAGAGAGGAGGCAACAGTTTTGGAACTTCCTGATCAGAGGTTATGGCAATCAAGACAAGAGTAGTAGATGTAAAATGAGCCTTTTAACATATGGGGACCTACTGTACTTCAGAAAAGGCCCAAAGAAGGCAAGGCTATATCAGGCATGACTCAGTAATCATCAGGGTGGGGCACCAAGGGATAACACTGACTCTGCCGGAAAATATGTATAAATGATAAAACTTAACAAAGAGCCTGTGGATTAGATAAGAGTCTATCTTGCCTTGAGGCAAGAGGATGAGTACATTTCTGCCTTCATTCTGGAATATTTGTGAGATATCAGAGAGAGGGGAAGACCATCTGAGAGATGATAATGGCTCTGCCTTGGGACCTTTAAATGCTGAATAGACTATGAAAACAAGAGAACTCTTCTGCCTGTAGTTGAAATAGGGGCATGAAAGCATGTCAGATAAGAAAAATAAGGTCACTTTATTTTTGCACATTGAATTCATAGTTGTCTTAGCTCAGGTTGCCATACCAAAATATCATAGTCTAGGTGGTTTAAACAATATAAATGTTATTTTTTCACAGTTCTGGTAACTGGAAGCCAAGTGTCAAAGTTCCGAGGTTCCAGTGAGGACTCTTCCCAGCTTACAGATGACTGCCTTCTTGCTATGTCCCACATGGCCTCACAGTGCTAAGTGCATGTACTTAGAGAGATAGAAAAAAATATCTGGTGTCTTTTCCGCTTCTTATAAAGATATCAGTTCTATTGAATTAGGACCCCGCACTTGTGGTTTCATTTAACCTTAATTACTTCTTTAGAGGTCCCATATCCAGTACAGTCACATCAGGGTTAGGGCTTCAACATAAGAGTTTGGGTAGTACAAAAATACTCATCACGTAACAATCATATGTAAGTAACTATATTAATTTGGCTTTTCCTGAAAGCAGAGTGTGAGACTAGAACTTACACAATTTCCTTAAGAGACGAGGAATGAGACAGGAATTTTGTGAAATGAGCTCAGAAAACAGAAGTAAGAGAGTGGAAAGAGTGAAACAGGAAAAGTCAATAGAAGGTGCACTAGGATGCTGTTGGGCAAGAGACTTCTTTCAGCCAAGGTATCTAAGAACTGCACAAAATACCCCAGAATTTTCAATCTGAAAGATGAGAGATTGGAACACTTATCTACCCTCGCCCATCTCATTGTTTGAAGGCTCAACTTACAGAAGTTTGAAATGCCCTTGTGCAGTGGCCATGTAATCTTCCTCTAAGTAGAGAAGGTCTTAGTACAGAATGAGGAAAGACATACAATACAAACTTGGGGCCGGATACTGATCCCTAGAGCAGGTGAGCTGGAACTTCCACTAGCACTGCTGCTGGTGTCAGAGTTAAGCCAAAATATTGTGACAAGCACTAGAGACATCTGTATCATATTGATCCTTGTTAAATGAAAGTAAGAAGTAAATTGGCTTATACTAAGCTCCATATTAATTCCATGTAATGGGTACAATTATAATTAAAAATCATATTGTCTTTCAAAATTGGGGGAATGGTTTTAGTGTGGTGTAAGAGTGGCAGTGTATAGAAAATAGAAAGAATGGATGTGGATTTCAGTTACCTATTACTGCTTAAAGGCTTGAAGCAATATTTAATTTTTATTTCTCATGATTCTGTGGTACTGAACTCTTCTGCCCCTCTTGATTTTGGCTGGGGCTGCAGTCTTCTGAGGCCTCATGGGCTTGCAATGACCCAACATGGTTCCCCCACCTGGCTGGCAGTTGATGCTGGCTGTCAGTTCTTCCAAAAGTTGGATGGAGCTGTTTACTAGAGCACATATGCATAGCCCCTCTCCGTGGCTTGGGCTTCACATTGTATGGCATCTGGGTTTAAAGAAGTATCCTAAAAAGGAAGAAGCTAAATCTGCCAGATTTTCATAATGCTTACAAGCAGAACGTTAGTTCCTTTGCCATGTACTGTTCAAAAAAGTCAAAGGAAGACCACCTGGATGCAGTGAGAAAGACATACATTTTACCTTTTGATGGAAGAGCAGCACGCATGCACAGGAAATAATGTAATTATTTGCAGCCATCTTTCTGTTTTAGTTACCACAGTAGAAAAACAGGATATGTAGATATTTCATGAGAATTAATTAATGAGCAATTCCTCTCAAGTTCCAATGATTTGGTTAATATTGTGCTTGATCATCTATTCATAGGGGCAGTTTTGGAGGAATGACAGCCTTTTCTACACTCAGTAAGGGTGACGAGGGAGTACCCCAAAAGAATTGGGATTGAAACTTACATTAGAGTCCCCGGCATGATTTTTAAACAATGCAGATTCTTGGATGGAAGATGCTTAGTGAATCATGGCCTTTAGAATTGTCCAAGATATTGGTGTTTTTAATAATCCACACTAGATATCTATGCTAAGAATATCCAGCAAGTGGAATTCTGTGTCTTCAGTCTAGGGCAAAAAATAACCCTGGGGAATAACAGCTGCTTTGTAAATTAAAAGCTCGGGTAGACATTTCAGATAGCATTATTGAATACATGTGTGAAATTTTGGAGTTAGAGAGCAGTGATCTTGGAATCAGTCCAGAGAGCAAACAGAAGGAAAAAAAGATATGATAAGTTTAGATTAACTAATCCGGAGTCTAGAAAGGGACCGAACTGTCAAATATTTGAATATCACACTGAAGAGTGAGCTTCGTCCTGAAATTAAATGGGAATCACTGTAAGTTTGTAGCAGGCATTGTCATAATTAGATACATGATTTAGAAAAGTTTATACTGTCTACAGTGTAGGCAATGAATCAGAGAATAAGAGACATAGATACCTGCTAAGAAGGTATAGTAGCAAAGAATGTGAGAATGGATAATGGTCTAAACTAAGTCAGTGACCCACATGAATAAAGGTAATTAAGCTATTGGTGTTGCTTAAGTGGGAATAAAGCACTTTCCTTGTGCAACGATTTGCACTTCGATTAATTGTTCTACAAGGACACTCGTCCAATACAGAAACACAGGTGAATATATATAATGCCTTGTTCATCTACAATCTTTTAAAAAATATTCTCTGTGTTTCTAGGTTTCACGGAAAACTATAGAATTAGGTATAAAAGCATCAGACGCATTTTTTTTTTTAAAGAAGACTTGGCTATTTTTCTTTCTGTTGCATTTCCAAAAGCACATCAGTTGTCAATGTTCTGAGAAGGATACAAAGCCTATCTTTTCAGCTGATTTTATGGATAAGTAAAGCCACACCCCATTTGTTTCACTTTGTTTTTCCTATTCCCTTTATGGAACTTTAGGTGGTGTAACCATAAAGTAATGGTTTTCTTATGTGGCTCGTAAACTAACTCTGAACGCAATTCCAAAAGAGATTCAACACAGTTAAGAGCTATGGCAGCACTGCTAAAATGGAGTAGAGGCTCCTCAGGTGATTGCTTTGAAGGGGGCAACAGTCATTAAAATGTATTTCTCTGGTATGTTGGTTTTAAAAGCACGCTTTCCTTTATCTTGACCTTCATATACCCACTGATTTTCTAGGCATTCCATGAGGATTTATTAAGTAATTTTTGGTTATACCTTATTTTAAAGGAAAAAGAATTATATCAAGGAACCTGTTTCTTCCCTTTCAGCAAAAGACAAATAGGTTTCTGTCTGCAGGGCTTTTGACAACTTCCATATCCCTGATGGACACACAGCAGGCTTGTGGCTCATTTGCACACCCAGGAGAAAAGAATGCAGGGGAACTAACCACACTGAGCCTAGAACTGCTAAGGGCTAAAAGCAGGATCCGAGCAAATCTTTGGAACAGTCTAAGAAACATGAAATATATGCTGACTCCAAATGTGTATTTCCGTTCTTTAAAAATGAGGCAGCCCTGATACCTTGAAGAAGAAAGTTAAGAAAAATCAGACATTTTTGTTGAATTGCAGAGGGACGATCCACAGAGGTAGTAAATCTATGCCTAACAACTCTAAGCCTTTGCTTCCCTTTCCCATACAGACACACAACAATGAAAATGTTTATTCCTTTTCCTGGTCTGAGAAACCCCTGGTCACAATCTAAACTTTTTTTTTTTCTCCCACACATGCAAGAGAAGTTGCAAGCACTACCAACATCGTCATTTTATCTCCTTCCAAATGCCTTAAGCTTCCACTTTCATCAAGAAAGTCCTAGCTCTAAGCACAGGTAGTATCTCCCCAACCAAACTATAAGAAGCACAAGTGACTCTGGCATTAATAACAGTATGATGTCTAAATTATTCTCTCAAAAAGTACTGACTGCAAAAGTAATCAAGTCACAATCTTTATTTTTGCAAACTCCAATATAAGTTTCTGAATTTTACCACGCAATTCTCCTCCTAAGTCATTCACTTTTTTGGTAGGTGGAAGCACAATGCCTATTCCTTGTAAAGGTACTCTGTTTCTTCTGGAGTCTTGGTATCCACTAGAACTAGTGTATACACACTCTTATGACAGTTTTATGTGCCTAAAAGCATGCAGCCAGCCATACCCCTTTTCAATGCTCAAGGGAGAATTGAGCTTGGCACTAGAAAGTTATTGATAGTAATTATAATGAATTATGTATAGACTGAGATGAGTGCTGTCAAGAAACAGAATTTTTAAAAGCAAAGGCTGGTATATTTCAATGCATATGCATTGGGTGGGGGTAAGAAAGCGCAGAAGTATAAATTAACAATAGATGGTTAAAAACTTGCCAGAAAATGAGCCTTTTGTTTGAAATATCTCTTTATCTTTTTACTTACATGATGAAATGAGATATTCTATGCTGGGAAGATGTAAGAAAGTGACCATAAGCAGCACTAATAATCTGTTCATAATGGAGTAATGTAAATATTGCACCTCTTCAATATGCATTCTCATTTTTATGAGTCTATATTTATTTCTTAACATAAAAACTATTTTTTGTCTACTTTATAAGTTTTAGCTGAGATCCCTAAAGAGCATAAAGTATAAACACAACACAGACACATACACCTATATATACTTCCCATTACCCTCATTTCTCTGATAGCAAATCTACGGCAGAGTGATAATAAGGAGTACTTTGAAATGCAAGCACTACATAAGTACAAAGTAGAATTTTTTTTCAAGAGTGGGAGAAGTCATATTAAAAATCAGGAAGCCGGTAAGATAAGCAAGAAAGATAATTCTAAGGCATATTCAGAGAACAAAGCACACCAGTTTGGATGTTTTCAAAACGGTAATGCCTCTATTAAAAGAGGTGAAGGGTTTTGAGGAAATACTTTCTTATCAAAAAATTCATTACTATAGAAGTCAGCATAGAAATGTGTTCCCTGTCTGAATTTCTCTTTCCCTATCTTATACTGGGGATAAGCTAAAGCTACTCAGAGAGACTAATATTCTCCAGTGAGGTTCTGCCAGACAGAATGTTTTAGCACACCTTAGAGAGGGCGTATAGACAGTGTTTAAGAGCTTGGACTCTGATGTGGACTGCCTGGGTTTGAATTTCCCTCTGGCACTTACTAGTCCTAAGACAAAGTTAAGTTAGTTAAACTTTCTGTGCTTCAGTTTTCTCAACCAAGGGTAACATCCACTTTGAAGGTTATTATAATGAATAAAAGACTTAATACATGTGAAGTATTCAAAACCATAACACTTAAAGTATTGACATACATATACACATATTACTAAACACACATTTACATATATACACACATGCATGTGTGCATGTGAGCTCTGTGAGGCCACTACTACAGAAGCCTCTGTGCCTATAGAAGGCATTTTACAAATCAGAGACTTGAAAAAGTGGCCCAGTGAAGGAATAAAATTTCTTGAGAAAGAATATCTGGAAAATATAAAATACATTGAAGTTAGTACTATTTCCCCATGTTTCCTCTTAGTTACTCTTGTTCCAGTTCAGTGCTAAGGAGAGCCAAACTTTGTCATTATCCCAGGCTGAGTTTGTTCAAAGAAGCTTTGTTCCCTAGGATTTTCTACCCTAGGAATCCCTGTACCTAGGTAACTGGGAAAGTATAGGCTACATTTCAGATGATAGACTGAATTTTGCCTTCTTATATGTCACTTTCAGAATCTTTAAGACATTCAGGGATAAAGATGATTATATTTTATCAGACAAATATTGATCATTTTCTTGTATTTATAGATTTTTCATGGAAACCAATATCGTTACTCTCCAGTCACAATTTTATTTTCAGATGTTCAACAACCACTTATTGAGGACCAATTAAAGTGTAATCACTAATAGGTTTTGGGAGTACATAGATGAAATACTTGCTCTCTACCCTCTCAGAGATGTAAATATAGTAATAATATTGTACAGTGATTCCTGAAGTGTGCTACAGTGATCCTCAGAATACCAATCCATAATGGCTGAAAAATAAAAATCACATCTTCACAACTTCAAGTTCAGTTAACATATTATAATTTATCCAAGTAGAATATTGATCAACTGTATACTTTTTAAACAGAAGTGATTCTTAATAATTGACTCTATAGAATATATGATACTAATCAAAGTACTGATGGTAAAATAAATTGTTTAGAATATTCACTACCGTTTATTCATGGAAGTTAACAATTATTAATTAATTTATATTTTAGTCTCCTAAAATTTAATTCCATTCAATAAATAGCAACTTATCTTACATACTTAAAGATTTCCTTTTCAAAAGACCATGATTACAAATAATATCTTCACTCCCTCCCTATACAGTTCTAGATAGGAAGAAAATATTTGATCCTGAGATGTTTCCAATTTATATTAGTTTATATGTTACACAATCTTTTATAATTTTTTAAATATTTGTATTAGGGTTCTCCAGAGAAACAGAACTACTGGGATATTTATATACAGGAATATGTAAGAGGATATTTATTATGAAAATTGGCTTTTATGATGATTGAGGCCAAAAGGTCTCAAAATATGCTGTCTGCAAGCTGGGGAACCAAAGGCCTGAGGAACAATGGTGAGGACCATTGATGTAAGTCCTGGTATCCTAAGGCCAGAAAACCAAGATCTCTGATGTCTAAGGCCAGGAGAAGAACAATGTCTGCATGAAAGAGAGTGAATTCATCCTTCCTTTACCATTTTTGCTCTGTCTGGGCTTTCAACGGATTGGATGATGTGCACTCAAATTGGTGAGTGCAGATCTTTATTCAGTCTACTGATTGAAATGCTAGTCTCTTTCAAAAACACCCTGACAGACACACCCAGAAGTGTTGTATTACCAACTTTCTGGTCATCCTTGTACCCAGTCAAGTTAACACACAAAATTAACCATCACAAGTTTATTTTAATAAATCATATTTACTTTTTGAAAAGCTGCTTTATGAACTTGGTACAAAATTGAAAATACATAAAATGGCAATTACTAAGTCTCTAGCTTTCCTGCCTGCATAACTCAGTGAAGCTTTGTGGAAAGACTTTTTGTTCATCCTTTTAGAAATAGTCCGTGAATTTAAATACATACATGCACACAACATTTTTAAACATAATTCACAATATAGTATACATATGGTTCTGTACCTTGCTTTGTCACTGAATGTAATTTGGAAATCTGTCCATAAGTTAGAGTAAGTTAGAGGTGTCTCATTCATTTTAAAGTTTGCACAATGCAGAGGGCACACCTTAGGTGATTCCTCAGTAAAAATTATTTCTTCCTGTAATCCACTCTGCTCGACTCTATGCAGAACTTGCTTCTAACCAGTAGAATGTGACCTTGACTAGGTTAGATAATACAGCTAAGGTGCTAGCATGCCACGTCCATGATTACTTTTTTTAATGAAGACTCTGTCTTGGCAGACTGGAGAAAGAGAGAGCTCCCATTATGACTTTGAAAAACTATACTGTAATGTCCTGCAAGGGCTTATGAATGGAGCTTATGCTAAGGAACTATAAGCATCCTAGAAGCAGAGGAAGGCCCCAATTAACAAATAGCTAGAAAAAAATGACCTTAGCCATATAGCTTCCAGAAATTACCTTTAGCAATAACCCAAATGAGCTTGGAAGCAGAGTTTTCCCAGTGAAAGCTCCAGATAAGAACACAGCCTGGCCAACACTTTGATGGCAGCCTTGTGAGACCCTGAACAGAGAATGCAGTAAAGTTATGCCTGGACTCCTGATACATGGAAATTGTGAGATAATAAATGTGCATTGTATTAAGCCACTAAGTTGGCTTACATTTTTTTTACACAGCAATGGAAAATTAATGCATTTGATGTAGTTCCATATGAAGAAGACTTTATTAGTTTTTGTTTATTTATTTATTTTGAAATTTGAGGGCAGGCAAAAAAGTTGAATTAATAAGACTCACTGTTTTGTGAAATGCTATTATCATTAGTCTAAGACTGCAATGATCCGAATGTTGATTTACCCCAAAATGTAGATGTTCGAGCTGAATAAAGTGATAGTGTTAAGCATGTACCCTAAAACTTAAAGTGTAATAATAATAAAATTAAAAAAAAAAGAGGTGGGGCTTTTAAGGTAATTAGGTCATGAGGGTTCCTCTGTTATGAATAAGGTTAGTATCCTTATAAAAGAGGCTTGTGGGAGCCTGTTGTCCCTTTTGCCATGTGGGAACACATAGAAGGTGCTATCTATGAAGCAGATAGAGCTTTTCCCTGACACTGAATCTGCTAGTGCCTTGGTCTTGGGTTTCCCAGCCTCCAGAACTCTAAGCAATACATTTTCATTGTATATAAATTGCCCACTCTAAGCTATTTTCTCATAGCAGCCAAAGCAGACTAAGACAAAGGCCCTTTTATTAAACTGATTTGGTTAATTTCTTTTAACTATGGTCTTCACTCACATTCTCTTTCTATCAATAAGCAACCATTCAGATGAGTTTGATGTGTACCTATTTCATTAGATTATATTCTACCAATTATGCACATGTATTTGTAATTTGCCTAGAAATTATTGAGGTATAGATCTGACTTTTTTCTTCTCATATAGTTCTAAATTTTTATGATGGATTCATGTTGCTGTATTAGCTTCTGTTTAGTTGTTTCTAATATCTAATAGAATTCCATGATTTGTTTATACCACATTCTTCTTTTGTCTTTCCCCAGTGTTGGATACCTAGAGTGTTTCTTGCTTCTCATTACCACAAACTTTCTTATAGATGAAAGATTATGCTCTTGTCTATGAATTTCTCTAGGAAATATGCCCAGGAATAAGACTGCAGGACCATAAGATCTTTGCATATTTGATATATCTAGTCTTTACAGATTGACCATCAGAATGAGAATGGCAGCCATACTATGATATATATATACCTACCAGCAATGCAAAAGTATTCCTGTTTCCCTAACGTCCTGTCATAATCCATCAAAGTTTTAGCAACCTAGTAGGTACAGAATGGAATCTCACTGTTTTTATGAGTTTCATTTCCTTGATTACTGATGACATTAAGCACAAGTCTACATTCTTGTTAAGCATTTGCATTTTGCCTGTCCCTATTATTTGTCTAATATCTGTTTTTTTTCTCTCGATGCATATAAATTCTATATGTATATTCTAGATATTTGTGGAGGAAAAGTGTGATGAGGTTCTTAACTTACCATAGGACAAATAGAAAAGTTAATTTTGGAAAAATTTCCATGAAGTTGGGAGACTGGCATGTGTTGGTAAACAATTGATACTGCCCCACTGAATGATTTGCCTGTCTATATACCCATACCACATTGTCTGTAAGAATAAATATCTTTATTTGTCTTCATGTTTGTCTTAGCTACTGAGAATTTTCTGATTTTACTGAATTCAACTTGTGAATTTTGAAACACTCTCACAAAAATTATATCAAAATATTTTAGGATTAATTGAATTTGTAGATTAATTGGGAAGAATTGGTACTTTACAAATATATTAATAAGGTGTGTTTTGTATTTATTTAGAACCACTTTAGTTTCTATTACTGATATTTTGCTATTTTAGTGAAGAAGACTTATGCATTACTGATGGATTTATTCCTTGGTATTTCATATTAAATTGATACTATTGTTTTTTCTTTTTCTTTCTGTTTTTTGAGATAGGGTCTCACTGTCACCCAGACTGGAGTGCAGTGGTGAGATTACAGCTTGCTGCTACCTCAGTCTCCAAGGACTGAATGATCCTCTCACCTCAGCCTTCCTAGTAGCTGGAGCTACAGACACGTGCCAACACATGGCGCTAATTTTTTTTTTTTTTTTTTTTTTTTTTTTTGCAGTGGAGCGAGGTAGAGACAGGATCTCACTATGTTTTCTAGGCTGGTCTTGAGTTCTTTAGCTTAGGTGGTTCTCCTACCTCAGCCTCCCAAAATGCTGGGATTACAGGCATGAGCCACCATGTTCAGCCTAAATTGATACCATTTTAAGTCACGTTTTTTTTCTTAAATTTATGTTCTAATTGTTATTAATATATAGAAATATATTAATTTACCTATATTTACATGATATCTAGTAATCCTGCTAGGTTCAGTTATTATTTCTAATGTTTTATAAGTTCTTTGGCATTTCCTAAATATATAATCATGTCATCTACAAAAATTTAAATTTTGTTTTTAAATTTTATACTTTTACTTCTTTTTATTACCTTATTGTTCTGCCTATGATTGTCAGTAAAATTTTGAATAAAAAATCTACAGTGGTTATTTTTGCCTATTCCTTGTTTTAAAGGGAAAATATTTAAAATTTCACCTATAAATATGTTCTTAGATTTTTTTTAAGAAAATAAAGTTCTCTTCAACTTTTAACTTGTGGAGTTTTTTAAAAGCATAAATGAGTGTGTTTATTTTTATTAAGATCTATTTTCTACATTTAGTGAAATGATCATTTGTTATGCTCTTTATTCTGTTGATATTGTGAATTGTACATACTAATTTTGAACATTAAACAAAATTTTCAATCCTTGAATAAACTTTGTATAGTTAGGATGAATTATTCTTTTTTATATATTGCTATATTCAATTTTTGAATAATATGCTTAAAACTTTTTTGTATATGTTCATGAGATATATTGGTTTGTCAGATCTCTTTGTTCTTATCAGTGTTTAGTGTCAAGCATATGCCAGACTCATAAAACTAGTTGGAAATTATTCCTTTCTCTTCTATTCCCTTAAATAAGTCATTAAGACTGGTATAATTTTCCTTTTTTAAATGTTTGAAATAACTTATCAGTGATACCATATGGGCCTTAAAGTTTTCTTTGCATAAATACTTTTACCCACACAATTCAATTACTTTACTAGATATAGGAGAACTCAGAATTTCCATTTCTTATGGCCAAATGTGGAAGTTTGTATTTTTCAGGGAATTTGTCCATTTTGTTTAGGTTGTCATATTTATTAGAATAATAGTGTCCAAGACATCATCATATTAACTTTTTAGTATATTGCAGGATTTATGGTAATATCCCTTATCATACATGATATTGGTTAGCCAATAACCAGATATGTCAAAATGTAAGCATTCATTAAATAAATAGTTATTAAACACCTAATATATAGGCCTAGCACTATTATAAATATTGAGAATACATCAGTCAGCAAACCAGACAAAAATCTCTGCCCACATGGCATTTGTATTCTAAGGGGCTTATATTAAAATCTAAATTTATATTTGCTTCATTTACTTAACTCCAAAGTTAAGTAAACTTAACTTTTTACTTTGACATTTAACAATATCTAATTTATCCTTCGGTAGGAAAAGGTATCAGATTAATATTAATCAAGACCAGTTTTTTTTCCATTCATGATCATAGTCATAGAGAGTAGAAGGATGGTTACCAGAAGCTGAGAAGTGTAGTGGGGGGTTGGGAGGGAGGTGGAGTTGATTAATGGGCACAAAAATTAGAAAGAATGAATAAGAGCTACTATTTGATAGCACAGTAGGGTGACTGTGGTCAATAATGACTGTATTTTTTAAATATTTTAAGGAATGTAATTGGATTGTTTGTAACTCAAGAGATAAATCCAGTTTTTGATCTCTCTTTGGTAAATACTCTCATTCAGGATACATTCGTTGTGATTAGTTGCTGTCCAGCTAAAAGCCTTCTAACAACATTTAAGTAGAGTGCTGTTCTCAGTTTAAGAGAATCACCTAGATTTGAGCAGGGTTTGGTAGGCCTTCTCTCTCTCTGAAGCTCATTTAGCTGGGCCTGCCCAAAGTGATAAAAGAGGATGTATAATAATCAGCTGATAGAACTGCCTAAATGCTGTGAAAACAGGAATAAAGGATATCGTTTAGTCACCAGAGCATGCTTCTTGCCTGACCTTGACATTATCTCAAGTCTTCATGGTCCGTGTAATATACGTGATACCAAATAGTTATTCTTAATGTAGGCAATTCATTGTCTATACTTCCTTGCCTCTCCTCTAGTTTCAAAGAAGGGCCAGCATATATACTCTCAGCTCCTACCAGCAGTTGGCTGTGCTGCATCTTTTGTGTGTCATTCAATTTGGGTAAATTTAGTGTTGTAGTTCTACCAGTGTTTTTCTCTCTGTGTCTAATAAACTCTACAGCTTCTGCATTATGTAATGTAAACTTCCAGAACTTCTTTCTATTGCTTGCCCTACGCCCCAGGATACTGAGTGAGGCTTCTACACTACCCTCTCCACACTGTACTTATGCACTTCTCGACAGACACATTTTTATACTCTGGCCACTCAGGAATTCCACGCAATAAATGTTCTCAGTCACTAGGAAAACTTCTACACTTCAAAGAATATTCCTTAGGACCTTCATCTTTATTGGGGAAAATATTTATCAAATACCTTCTCCACAAATCAGTTATGGGGGAGAGGAAAATGTTTCTACATTTAATCTTTGAAAAAGTCTTCATTCCTAGAAGCTTTCTTTCTTTCACATAGTTCACTTTGTATATGTGATACAAATTCATTTCATTTATTCAATAGATTATGTCCTTGAGCAGACTAGTTTAATAGCGCTTAATTTTGTGAGTAACTCATAGTACCTCCTTTTAAAAGTCAAGGTGTGGAATGGACTACAAGGACAAAGCAAGGGAACTCTCGGTTTGAGACCTTAAGTCATTGCTACAAGTACATGCTTTATATACCATTCCATTTCAAAGAGTTAAGAGTTAATATGATCAGATCATGTTCAAGCAATAAGTCAGAAACAGGGTTAAGGTTCAGGTTAGGAGGCAGAAAGCAGTAAGAGAGCAAGGTTTGTGAGAAGGAGAGTTCTCCAGAGTCAAATACCTACTGTTCAGTGTTCAGCACTGGACTAGACTACAGGTCAACCTTCCTTGGAGAGGAAAGCAATTCTTATAAAACATGAAAGATTATTCCCTCAGTGGCTGAAGAATTTCAAGAAATGTCTGGTTGGACCAAAGGTGGACATTGGAAAAATGAGAACTACAATACAAACACCACACAAAAAGAGGAGAGAAAAGTCAGGGTCAAAAAAGCACAAACTGAGTAGCTGGAGGGAAATATTTTGCTTATATGATTTTTCTCTTTATATCTAGAAAGTGAACACAGTGTGATATAAGGGAAAGAGGATGGACTCTGGAATACAAGCTGTGAGATCAACTCCTTGCTATCCTTAAAGAGACCATGATGCTTTGGGACATGTCATTTGATCTCTTATGTTTCTCAGAAGTAAAAATAGAAATAACTGAAGTACTTATTTTCAAGCTCATGTAAGAAATAGAGTATCATTACTAATATAATTAATACAGTTTGTGCTATGTTTTTACAATGTTTAATTTAGATCATAAGTTAAAGATAATTGGCATGTGAATTTATTGCTATAGGGAAACAAAAGATTAACAAAACAGGTAGCATTGTTCCTAAGGCTGCAACCACATGAAAGGCATGACATGTCCATGGATAGTGACAGAGTCACCTGAATTAATGTCCATTTAACAAGGCTTTTTTTTTTTTTTTTTTTTTTTTGAGACAAAATCTCCCTTTGTCACCCAGGCTGGAGTGCAGTGGTACAATCTGGGCTCACTGCAAGGTCTGCCTCCCGGGTTCATGCCATTCTCCTCAACAAGGCTCTTTTTAAACTTCTATTCTGCAGACATCTTGATACCATTAAAGTAGTAATTATTTCATCAAATCAGTTCCTTCATTCAGTGATAACCTCATGGTTTTCTCAAACCATATGAGCTGCACATACAAAATACAGTGACCTTTGCTAGTATCTACCCTTCTCTGCATTGCGAAAATTTCTTTCTTCCATGAGTGAGTTTCCCTTCCCTATACAATTTTTGAAAATCCAAAGGAACACTTACATTTTCTACAAATAGATCTTTTTGGTTGCTTTTGAATTCTGCAAGGTATTGTATCAATGGTTCTAGAAATATAAAAGTTACCTGTAGTTTCATAATTGACTTTTCAAGCAGCTCTGTCTTTGCTTGCTGATGTTTCAAGTACGATCACTTATTGTCCTAAGTACAAATAAGACCAGCCTGTATTGTTTTTTAAACTTACTGATTGACTTTAAGTAAAAAATTACAGCCCAGAAAAGCAATCTCAAATCTACTCTCAGGTAGGACCAAGATTAGAATCTATAGATCTCTCACCTCACTTTGGGCTCCAAACAAATACTATGCTGCAAATCTGTTAGCTTTCAGTTCAGAAGGAGAAACCTGTTTTGAACTGAGAATAAGTTTTCAAGTATTTTGAAGAACAGTGAAATTGTTCTATAGAAGTATACATTTTGCCCTAAGATTAAGCAGAAAATTTGTATGTTTTCAGAGTAAGAACTCACTTATCTATTACATATTCAGAAATATTGAGGTCAAGTCTCACAACACCATGGCACAATAACCGTTTGTGAAGACCTACCATGAGGGTCTTTAGGGACTCAAGTAATACCCATTATTAGAGATTTAAAGCCACTCCTACAGCTCTTTGGGTGCTGACCTTTCTTTAGACAGTGACATATAAGCATAGATGAGGGCAGAGTGACATGTGAACTCTGGGACAGAGACTGAAATCGAGGGCTAATGATATTCTGGAGAAACACTAACCATTCCTGGGAGTCTCAAGTATAAAATATCCCACATACATATATACTATCGGGGAACCTGCCCCCCAATAGTCACGTAGGTTCTTTTCTATTTTCCATAAGCATCGGCCGGGTTGAGAAATAAAGGGACAGAGTACAAAAGAGATAAATTTTAAAGCTGGGCATCTGTGGAAGACATCACATGTCGGTACGTTCCGTGATGCCCCACAAGCAGCAAAACCAGCAGGTTTTTATTAGGGATTTTCAAAGGGGAGGGAGTGTACGAATAGGGTGTGGGTCACAGAGATCATGTACTTCACAAGGTAATAGAATACCACAAGGCAAATGGAGGCAGGGCTAGATCACAGGACCACAGGACTGGGGTGAAATTAAAATTGCTAATGAAGTTTCAGGCACACATTGTCATCAATAACATCTTATCAGGAGACAGGGTTTGAGAGAAGACAACTGGTCTGACCAAAAATTTATTAGGCGGGAATTTCCTCGTCCTAATAAGTGTGGGAGCTCTATGGGAGACTGGGGCTTATTTCATCCCTACAGCTCGACCACAGAAGATGGCCACATCCAAGGGGGCCATTTTAGAGGCCTACCCTCAGGGGCACATTCTCTTTCTCAGGGATGTTCCTCGCTGAGAAAAAGAATTCAGCAATATTTCTCCCATTTGCTTTTGAAAGAAGAGAAATATGGCTCTGTTCTGCCTGGCTCACCAGTGGTCAGAGTTTGAGGTTATCTCTCTTGTTCCCCGAACATTGCTGTTATCCTGTTCTTTTTTCAAGGTGCCCAGATTTCATATTGTTCAAACACACATGCTGTACAATTTGTGCAGTTAACGCAATCAACACAGGGTCCTGAGGCGACATACATCCTCCTCAGTTTACGAAAATGATGGGATTAAGAGACTAAAGTAAAGACGGGCATAGGAAATCACAAGGGTATTGACTGGGGAAGTGACAAGTGTCCATGAAGTCCTCACAATTTATGTTTAGAGATTGCAGTAAAGACAGGCGTAAGAAATTATAAAAGTATTAATTTGGGGAACTAATCAAGGTGTATGAAATCTTCACAATCCATGTTCTTCTGCCATGGCTTCAGCCGGTCCCTCCATTTGGGGTCCCTGACTTCCTGCAACAATACACAATGGATTATTATTCAGCCATAAAAAAGAACAAGATCCTTTCACTTGCAACAACATGATTGGAACTGGAGATCACTATGTTAAGTGAAATAAGCTAGGCGCAGAAAGACAAGCAACACGTGTTCTCACTTATCTGTGGGATCTAGAAGTCAGAACAATTGAACTCATGAACATAGAGAGTAGAAGGATGGTTACCAGAAGCTGAGAAGGGTAGTAGGAGCCTGGAGGGGAGGTGGGGATGGTTAACAGATTTAAAAAAAGAAAGAATGAATGAGACCTCTTATTTGATAGTACAACAGGACAACTTAGTCAATAGTAACTTAATTCCACATTTCAAAGTAACCAAAAGAGTGTAATTGGATTGCTTGTAACACACAGGATAAATGCATGTGGGATGGATACTGCATTTTTCATAATATGATTATTTCACATTGCATGCCTGTATGGAAATATATTATTAACTCCATAAATAAATATACTTACTATTTACCCACAACAATATAAAAATTGAAAATAGCTAAATAAATAAATAATTCCAGAAAAAAGATGTTGCCTTTTATGGATGTAAGATTATTTATGGCAAGGAGAGGAAAGTATCTCAAGCCAAGAGAATGTCCTGTGTAGAAGCCCAAAGTATTCCTTGTAATTTGTGATTTGAGGACAATGACAATTTGATGAAACCTTGAGTATGTGGAGAAAGTGGCAGGAAGATCATATTAGTGAAAGAGTAAATTCCACAATATTAGGGCCTAGAAAACCTGACAAGACCTAATGATAGGTGTTTATTTTCAAAATTATTTTTACAATATCTTTCTAGAAATAACAAGCCTTAACTGTTACAATGACCATCCAACCTATCTTTCCTGAAGAATAACAATTTAATGCTAACATTTTTTTCTAAGTACTTTTATGAGAACAGGGTGAAATATCACCAGGGATCTTTTTCAAATCTCTACCATACAAGATAATTTGACACATGCCACATTTTGGGAAGGATTAATCTTTTCTTTCATATCCCAGAGGGGAAAAAAGCTATTGAAAATATTATGACTAGCTTCATCCAAAATACTCTAGTTTGATTTTCATGCACCCACAGCTAAACCATAGACAGTGAATCATAAAATGCAGAATTAAGAAATTCAAATTCAATAAATATTTATTGAGCAAATTCTTTGGGCACGGTATTTTTCTAGGGACCTAGCATATAGGGAATAATAAGAAAAAGTCTGGACACCTTTTACATTTTAAATATTGCCTTTCACAACACCATGTAGTTTAAATGAAATTCTAGAATTCTTCCTTATATAGAATCGCATAGTATTACTGAACATATTTATTAACATAAATAATGGCATATGTGAAGGCAAATATTTTTCAGAAATGTTTCTACAAATTTTATTTTCTATCATTGCATTGAAAGTATAATAATTACTCATAAATAATAAAATGCTGAAAATATGTAAAATAAGAAAAATGGAATGATAGAAGACATAAATACAAAAACAGATTTCATTTTACAAAATTTTAAAATTCTAAGACCACATACAAGTTATAAATTGTAAAGAAAATACATATCACAGAACTACATTGTAAAATGATGCAGTTACTTTGGAAAACTGTATGGTCACTCCTCAAAATACTAAACAAAGAACTACCATATGATCTAGCAATCACCTTTCTATGTATACAATCAAAATAATGGAAAGCAAGGATTGAGATATTTATACACTTAGGGTTATAGCACCATTAATCACTATTTGACTTCATAACAGTCAAAAGGCGGAAAGGAACCCAAGTGTCCATCAAGAGATGAGTGAATAAACCTACCACTGTGTGTGTGTGTATAGCAGAATATTATTCAGCCTTAAAAAGAAATGAAATCATTTAATGCATAATAAATCAGGAAGACATTAGACTAAGTGAAATAAGCTAGAGACAAAGAATAAGTATTGTATGACTTCATTTATATGAGACACATAGAGTAGTCCAATTCAAAAAGACAGAAAGTAGAATGATGGTTGCCAGGGGCCTCAGGGGAGAGAAGAAACAGAGAGTTATTTTAAAAGGGTACAGAGTTTCAGTTCTGCATGAAGGGAAAATTCTAGATGTTTTTAGTATTGATGGCTGCACAACAATGTGAGTGTAATTAACACCACTGAACTGTGCACCTAAACACGGTTAAGATCTTATGTTATGTATATTTTACCCCAAAGGTGGGCAAATGTCTTTAATGTACATAGAGTGCCTACAGATTACTAACAAAAAAAGAACAAACAAGCCAATTTTTTTAAAATAGGAAAATTATGTAAATAGCTTATTCATGGACGAATAACTGCACACTAAACATACAATATAAAGGTTAACCTCACTAATCATTTCAAATGGTAATTAATATAAAAAAATTAATCAGTTTTTAAAATAAAGTTTGCATAAATTTTCAAAATATGAATACTTTTCTAGGCTGGTGAAGATGTGAGGACAGAGACATTTCTTTAAACATTAGGTGGGAACTCTATTCAAATTAAAAATGGGCAAAATTTGTGATGAAATGACCCTACTTACAGGAATCTGTCCTGAAATAATCAAACAATTACATTGCAAATATACAAGGCTTTTCACTATAGAATTATTTGTAACAACAAAACAAACAAGCAACAGAAAGGAAGCAACTTATATATCCAATATTAGAAGACCGATTAAGAAAATGATTGTGTGTTCCCTTCTACACTGCTGGTGGGAATGTAAACTAGTACAGCCACTATGGAAAACAGTGTGGAGATTCCTTAAAGAACTAAAAGTAGAACTAGCATTTGATCCAGAAATCCCACTACTGGGTATCTACGCAGAGGAAAAGAAGTCATTATTCAAAAAAGATACTTTCATACTCATGTTTATAGCAGCACAATTGTGAAATCGCAGAACCAACCCAAATGCCTATCAATCAATGAGTGGATAAAGAAACTGTGGTGTGTATATATATATATATATATATATATATATATATATACACACACACACACATATAGATGTATATATATATGTATATACATGTGTGTATATATATGTATATATATGTGTGTATATATATATATACACACACACACAAATATATAAACTCTCGATATATATATATAATATATATATATATAATGGAATACCACTCAGCTATAAAAAGGAATGAATTAACAGCATTTGCAGTGACCTTGATGAGATTGGAGACTATTATTCTGAGTGAAGTAACTCAGGAATGGAAAACCAAACATTGTGTGTTCTCACTGATATGTGGGAGCTAAGCTATGAGGGCACAAAGGCATAAGAATGATACAATGGACTTTGGGGATTTGGGGGGAAGAGTAGAAGGGGGACAAGGGACTAAAATACTACAAGTATTGTGCCGTGTATACTCCTCAGCTGATGGGTGCACCAAAATCTCACAAATCACCACTAAAGAACTTACGCATGTAACCAAATACCACCTGTACCCCAATAACTTATGGAAAAAAGAAAATGACTGTGTGTTCCTATAATGATATACGAGATCATCAGAAAAAAGTACTATGCCTTCCTTGTGTACTCACTAGAAAAAAAAAGTCCATAAAAGTAACTAGAAAATCTTTGTAAAGCCTAATTTCATTATAGTTATAAAAAAAAACAGATGCTGGCGAGGTTGTGGAGAAAAATGAACACTTATACACTATTGGAGGCAGTGTAAATTAGTTCAACCATCGTGGAAGATAGTGTGGCAATTCCTAAAAGACCTAAAGGCAGAAATACCATTCAACCCAGCAATCCCATTACTGAGTATATACCCGGAAGAATATAAATCATTTTATTATAAAGACATATGCACACATATGTACATTTCAACACTGCTAACAATAGCAACTACATGGAATCAACCTAAATGCTCATCAATGATAGACTGATAAAGAAAATTGGCATATATACACCATGGAATAGCATGCAGCCATAAAAAAGAATGAGATCATGTCCTTTGCATGGACATGGATGGAACTGGTGGCCATTATCCTTAGCAAACTAACACAGGAATGGAAAACCAAATACCACAGGTCCTCACTTATAGGTGGGAACTAAATTATGAGAACACATGGACACAAAAAGGGGAACAACACACACTGGTGTCTATTGGAGTGTGGAGGGTGGGAGGAGAAAGAGGATCAGGGAAAACTAACTAATGGATACTGAGCTTAATATCTGGGTGATGAAATAATCTGTACAACAAACCCCAATGAGCAAATTTATCTATGTAACAAACCTGCACATGTACCCCTAAACTTAAAATAAAAGTGAAAGCAAAAAGAATGTGTGTGTATATGTGCATGCATTGGTATATACAACATAAAGACAAAGGTGATTACAGGGATGAGAGATTAATTCCCACGTCAAATGTATCTCTATCAATATATCAATTGGAACTTAGTTTCAGGGTTTATTGATGTATTTTTCTTTTTGTGTTGTTTAATATATTTTCAATATTTTAAAATAGAAAAGTAGTTGGGAAGTTGCTCTGTATTTAAAGACTCTGCCATATGTTATCTTTTCCTTCACTTTCATTTGAAAAATGACATTGAAGATTTTAAAATTTTTATTTTAAGATTTTAATTTAGGTATATTATTTATCTAATGCTTTTTTATTGCTTTAATTTTATTCTGAAATGAAACAAGGTTGCAAATTTCTTTCTTTTTTTAAATCTAGGGTTGCTTTTAATATTTAAGATGAAGACTCCATTAAATTAGATAACTATATGATATGGTTTGAATGTGTCCCCTTCAAAATTTAGGTATTGCCAATGTGTTCATATTAAAGGATGCGGCCTTTAGGTACTAATTTGGCAATGAAGGCTCATTCCTTGTGAATGGCATTAGGGGCCCTTTTAAAGCAGTGTGAGTAGGGAATCGGTCCTCTCTTGCCTTTCCACTTCCTGCCACAGCATTTCTCTCCTCCAGAGAATGCAGCCCTCAGCAGACACACCAGATGCCATTGTTTTGACCTTGGACTTCCAGTCTCCAGAACTGTGAGAAATAAATTTCTGCTATTTATAAATTACCCAGTTTATAGTACTCTGTTAACAACAGCCCGAAACAGACCCAAGACTCTGTTTCTCAAGTGTGTGAGGGAATTGCAGACCTAATTCTCGTTAGGGTAGTAAATGACCTATATCCAATCACTTTTCTTGATTTAACTCTGGAATATGCTAATTTTAATGGTTGGGGTGCTGATGATAAATACAATTTCAAAATGACCAAATAAAGCATTGCAATCAGAAATGATAGCTAATTTACCTCTGAGACTATTGTGAGAATAAAATTTCTTATGCACTCTGCCTTGAGTGCTTCCTGGAATTATAGAATGTAATTATGTTTTAAAACTCTGATTTTTAAGCCACCTGCTGATTATTTATCTGAAGATAATACTATTAAAATTAGAACCAAATTTTCAAAATTATTTAAGCTTGCCTATATTCTTAATTAAATCACTCATTCTGATGATCAACTCAGTAAAACAAGAAACTGATTTGATTACTAAATCGAATTAACATTCTGACAGTTGCTCTCATCTGCTGACTTACCTTTCAGTTTAGTAATGTGTCACTTAGTAGCCTTAGACTTGCACCGTGGCCTGATTTTACGAATCCAGCTTTTAAGTATTTCTGAACATATTCAGAATTTTTTAGTAGAAGTAGCAAAACGTGGTTCAATGAAAAATGCTGTGTGTGGTGGCTTTGTAACACATAAATTGAGCCAGGCTGAACTACGTTTCTGAGAATTTCCTTTACTGTATTTTTCTAGTTAGGGTTGACCATCAAAGGGATTCCTGTGAGAGATTTAGAGGGCAGATGGGAAGCAGTGGCCATTTTGAGCTCACATACGTTGTTGCTGACCTTTTGATTTATCTCCTTGGCCATGGCTGGCTGGCCACCTGCTTCACCTTTCCCTTCAGCTTTTTCAACTGCGGGGCCAGATGTGGGTGCACAGTTTAGTGATGAAGGACCTCAACTTCTGCCGGACACTGGCACCATCAAGGTCAGAAGCAACTAGTACTAACATGGTTTCATTCTGTTCTAGTGGACCTCACAGTTTGCTTGTGGGCTCCAGCTTTTCTTGTCTTGCTGTTCCCCAGTTTATCCATTTTCTCTTCTCCACACCTTCAAGCTCCACCATCAGACACTAAGGAAGAAGGTTAAATGCAATTGTGTCAAATACTTCTAACAAATAATAAATATATACATAAATTCATCACAGTGGTTCTGCTTCTCTGAATGAGCCCACTAAAATATGCTATTGTATAGACTGGAAAACTTTAATTTTCATTTTAATTTCTCACCCAGAAAAAAATATTTTAATATAGCCAATGAATTATTATGAATATTTAATTTTAAACCAGCTTAAAGTAATTAATATATTTTATTAGGTACTAAATGAATGTTGAGCACACACTAAGCATCACTAATTAGAAAATTTAAACTCCAAAATCCTCCACAATCCAAAACTTTTGAGCACTGACATGATGCCACAAGTGGAAAATTCCACACCTGATCTCATGTGATGGGTCATGGTCAGGAAGAAGACACACAACACACAGTTGATTCAGCATTCTTGAGGTAAAAGAGATCCTCCCAACCCCCTTCAGCTGTGATATATGTTTTTCAGGTATACCTGTATTCCCCCATGCAAGCATACCCACAAAGTGTATTAAAATAGCACGTGTGCAGGCCAGATGTGATAAAGCAGGTTCTACACAATGCTCTTCAAAAAGGTAGGACTCACACGTACTACTTGCTGTGTTTTATTTTTGCTTATTCTCTGCTTTTTGCTGTAAAGATATTGTTGAAAATGTCAAAAAGGCTTGTAGATACCCCTGTGAGTAACAGTGATAAAAGGACACATCTATATTTATGTATGGCATAGAAAGTCAACCTGTTGGAGAAAATGAACAACAGTGCAAGTGTGAAACATCTTACAGAAAAGTGTGATGTTGGAATGACTATCATGTAGGACTAGGACCTGAAGCAACAGAAGGATAAACTGTTGAAGTTCCATGCTAAAGGTGACAAAAATAAGTTAATGAAAAATGAAAAAACACCACAAAAAACTAAAAATAAAGGTCTCAATTGTATATTGAAAGAGTGGATCCCTCAGTATTTCAGTGAACAGATGCCACCAAATGGTATGCCAATCGTGAACCAGGCAAAGATCGATGATTATCATCATGAACTAGAAATCAAAGGAAACTGTGAACATTCAACAGGCTAGTCACAGAAATTTAAGAAAATACACGGCACTAAATTTTTTAAAATTTGCAGTGATAAAAATTTGTGGTTATCATATGCTGATCACAAAGCAGCAGATAAATTAATGATGAGCTTGCCAAAAATGATTGCTTATTATTTTATCACTGATAAATTCTGATGCCAGAACATATCTATAACACAAATGAAACATCACTGTTTTTTTTGCATTAGTGCTTCAGAAAGACAATGAAAAGCCCCTGCAGGAATGAAAGATGTAAAGGACAGAATAGCTACACTAGTATGTGCTAATGCAGCAGGCACACATAACTGTGAACTTACTGGGAAAGGCAAAAGCTGTGTCCTCACTGTTTTCAAGGAGTGATTTTCTTACTAGTTCATTATTATGCTAACAAAATGGCATGGATCACGAGGAACATCTTTTAGATTGGTTTCATAAACATTTTGTACCAGCAGTGCCTGCTCACTGTAGGGAATGACTGAAAGACTGTTATTCTTTGACAACTGTTCTGCTCATCCTCCAGCTGAAATTCTCAGAAAAAATGTTTATGCCATGTACTTTCCCAGAAATGTAATTTCATCAACTCTTCCATGTGACCAGAATATTCTTAAATCAATAAAGAGTGAATGTAAAAACACTTTCTTAAACAGCATGCTAGCATCAGTGAACAGAAGCATGAGTTTGGAGGGCTTTCAAAAGGAGTTTAGCATGAACGATGCCATGTATGCTGTTGCCTATGCTTGGAACGCAGTGACTGAAGACATAGTTGTTCATACCTGACACAGCCCCTGGCATACAACTATGTTCAATAATGATAATGCACAAAGTGGTGACTGAATAATACAGTAAGTCAATTGGAAACAATGCTGTCTGACCTCCTTACATATGCCAAAAAAACACATAATTTCAGTCTGTTGGTAAGCTGGAAAAAGTGCATATCAAAGAATTTTTTAACATTGATAAAGTGGTCTTCATTGTCCATTTATTGAGTAACGGTGAAATAGGCTAAATGTTTCTGAATCAAGGTGATTGTGATAATAGTGACAACAAAGATAACATCATGAACAGTGAAGAAAAAGTGCCTATAAATGACATGGTGAAAATGTGTGATGGGCTTAATAAAAGACTAGAGCAGCATGTATTTATAACGGAAAAAGAAATCTCATGTCAGTTTATAAAATCAAAGAGAGACTTCTAAGGCAAAAACCATTGTTAATGAGGCAGACGACTCTGAAATAAAGATTTTGAAAAGCCATTCAGCAAAATGTCTCTGATATGGTTTGGTCCTTTGTCTCCACCCAAATCTCATGTTGAATTGTAATCCCCAGTCCTTGGGGAGGGACCTGGTGGGAGGTGACAGGATCATCGGGACGGATTTCCCCCTTGCTGTTCTTGTGATAGTGAGCGAATTCTCATGAGAGATCAGGTTGCTTGAAAGTGTGTAGCACTTCCCCTTTCACTCCCTCTCTTTTCTCCTGGCCATGTGAAGATGCGCTTGTTTCCCATTTGCCTTCTGCCATGATTGTAAGTTTCCTGGGGCCTCTCCAGAAGCAGAAGCTGGTACAGCCTGCAGAACTATGAGCTGATTAAAGCTCTTTGATTTATAAATTACCCACTCTCAGGTAGCTCCTTATAGCAGTGTGAGAACGGACTATTACAGTCTCCTCATCCCACTTCCTATTCTTCAACTGCTTCTGATGTTTCTTCTCAACTAAAAAAAAAATACAATGTACAGTAACCTTTTAATCAAAACACAGCATCATAGATGGAGACTGAAAGCCTGTTGTTATTTGCTGTTGCTGTTGTTTA